>NC_000006.12:67458867-67761897 GCF_000001405.40 Homo sapiens
TAAGACAGGATTAAGAGATTAAGACAGGCAAAATTTAAAAAAGTATTATTTGGGAACTGATAAATGTTCATATTAAAATGAAATCTTCACACTTTATGTTCCTCTGCTGTGGCTCCAGCCGATCCCTCCGTTTGGGGTCCCTGACTTCCTGAAACATTGTGTGACACCTCACTCCACCTCTCTCTCTCCCTCTCTCACTCCTGTTGTGTCCATGTGATGTGCCTGCTCCCCCTTTGCCTTCTGCAATGATTGTAAGCTCTCTGAGGCCTCCCCAGAAGCCAAGCAGATGCTAGCACCATGCTTCCCTTAAGTCTGCAGAACCATAAGCCAAGTAAACCTCTTTTCTTTATAAATCACTCAGTATCAGGTATTTATTTATAGCAATGCAAGAACTGCCTAATACAATCATCAATGTGAATTCTCACATTATACAGCCCCAATCATATTTCTACTCAATTCAGAAAAGTCTCATAATTCTACTCCATACTGACCTAGTTATAATACTCTTTTTCAGCATTTAATATTTCCTTTTTTACATCTATTATTTCAAACACCACAGACTCATACTTGTATAATATTCTGTATATTATTCCTTAATTTGAACTCTTTGTTCTACACATAATAATATTTGTATCTGCCAAATATATCTATTACCTAAGGCCCATCACTACCATTAATCTTGCCTCATAGTCATTCTGGCAAGCATTCTTTCCTTACACATTATGAGAAAATACTAGGAAAATATTTTCTTCCATTAAATTATATTAGTTACAAATTTTACCAAAATTTGTTTTAGTCTTTTCTTCATTTGTGTAGTTTAAAGATAATATGTACCTGAATCATAGTTGTGCAACTATTAAAGAAAACAGGTTGGTGCAGGTAGAGGCGAGGATTAGGTGACTAAGCATTGCTTTCTTTCTCTATTTAACTTCAGGTTTTCAGGTACCACAGATAAATGCAGACTTAAAACTCATTGCTTTACAAGACACTTAATAAGAGAAAAATTTCCCCATCTTGTAAGATTTGGAAAAGCTGTCTTCCTTTGCCTAATGGAGATTCCTAATGTAGGACATCAAGACTCTGAGAAGTAATACAGTAAGAGAACCATTACAACTTTTTGGGACCCAGAATGCCAAAATATACCAAATGCTTTGGTAATGTAGACCCTTTTCATGAAACAACTATGGATATTCCACGAACTTAGTATGTCTTTTTGTACAGATTAGAAAGAGTTAGTATAGAACAATGTAAACATACACAAAAGATGACTTGTAATGTTTTATTGTTTTTAATTTTAAAATTCAGAATCTTGATTTATAAAATGGTTATCTCACACTTTTCAAAGATTGCATCTCACATCTACTCACTTGACCTCAGCTCAAGACATGCTCACTTATTTAGTATCAGTGACAATACCCATCTGTTGCATAATGGTTTGTGATACATATCCTGATTATTTTCTAGAATGCATTTTCTCTGTTGTCTGTATTTAGAAGTTTCTGCTTATCATTTCTTCAGTGAACACTTAAGTCAGTTAAAATAAGTTCCTCTATTGAGGGCCCCATACATGCCAGTATCTGCTAGCAGGTGTATAAATTGGTGCACCTGTTTTATAAAATTGTTTGCTAATATCTACTAAAGCTAAACATATATAAACTCATGACCTACCAATACTAAAATTGAATATACTCTTAACAGAAATGAGTGCCTATGGCTCTAAAAGACAAGAAAAAGAATAGAGCAGCAGGAACTCAGCACTATCTGCCTGGAGATAGAGACCTGTTTATTGGTGGCCATGGCCCTCAAACACCAGTAGCTTTGGCACATAGGTCTATCTTCTGGAATGACCAGGCATCCCTACATAGGCCAGAGTCTTCCTGTACAGGCACAGGGCCCTAAGGCTGCACAGCTGCCTGTGTTCCAGTCTGCAGTTGTGTTAAAATCAAGACATTGAGTGTGCTTCTGCTAAGGCAGTGGTTCTCGTAATTTTTGCAGACGTCGATATCACTTGAAGAGCTTGTTAAACTGCAGATCAATGAGTCCTGCAACCAGCAGCCCTGATATTTACATTGGAGGCATATATGCTGCTGGTCCAGGAGCCACACTTTGGGAATTATGGCATTAAACAGTGTGGTTGCGTACTTACTGCTTACATTTAATTATAAATGGTGACCCATCTTCCCAATTTAGTTCCAGAAGAACAGTATTTATCCATTAAATATTGTAGTGCATGATTTATGACAGTTGTAGAATGAACAAATAACATGGTTCTGTCACAAATTCCTGCAAGCTGGTTACTGATGTGCTTTTAGCAATCCACTCCACCCTCCCCATGGCTGGAGCTACCAGGCTACATAACTCTGGCTGCAAGCACCACTTCCATTTACCCCCTGTGCCATAGAAATACTGCCATTTTCCATGTGTGTCATAGTGGGGAAAATTTAGAAAGATTGTGTTAAATAATCAACATTGTTATAATGAGGGGCAAACTTGATCGTATGCCTTGATAACCCATAAGATATCATGATTTAACACTAAACCATACTGTTTTTTACAAACATTGATGCAAACTTAACAACAAAAAATAAACTTTACCTATCACCTATAACAATCTCAAATTGAAAATAATTAAGATTTATATATATATATGAGAATAGATATCTAAACAATCAGATATTTCATACCACTGATGAGAAATGAAATATTGCCTCATGTGGAAATATGATGGCTCTCACACAGATGATGTAAAAATAAAACATTCCATGATCATGGAGAGGAAAAATCAATATCGTGAAAATGGCCATATTGCCCAAAGTAATTTGTAGATTCAATGCTATTTCCATCAAGCTACCATTGGCTTTTCTCACATAATTAGAAAAAACTACCTTAATTTTCATATGAAACCAAAAAAGAGCCTATGTAGCCAAGACAATGCTAAGCAAAAAGAACAAAGCTGGAGGCATCACGCTAACTGACTTCAAACTATACTACTAGGCTACAGTAACCAAAACAGCATGATACTGGTACCAAAAGAGATATATAGACCAATGGAACAGAAAAGAGGCCTCAGAAATAATGTCACACATCTACCACAATCTGACCCTTGACAAACCTGACAAAAACAAACAATGGGGAAAGGATTCCCTATTTAATAAATGGTATTGGGGAAAGTGGCTAGCCATATGCAGAAAACTGAAACTGGACCTCTTCCTTGCACTTTCTACAAAAATTAACTCAAGATAGATTAAAGATTTAAATGTAAGACCTGAAACCATAAAAACCCTAGAAGAAAACCTACGCAATACCATTCAGGACATATGCATGGGCAAAGACTTCATGACTAAAACACTAAAAACAATGGCAATGAAAGCCAAAATGGACAAATGGGATCTAATTAAACTAAAGAGCTTCTGCATAGCAAAGAAACTATCATCAAAGTTAACAGGCAACCTACCGAATGGGAGAAAATTTTTGCAATCTATCCATCTGACAAAGGGCTAATATCCAGAATCTATAAGGAACTTATACAAATGTACAAGGAAAACACAAACAACCCCATCAAAAAGTGGGCTAAGGATATGCACAGGTACTTTTCAAAAGAAGACATTTATGTGGCCAAAAAACATGAAAAAAAGCTCATCATCACTGGTCATTAGAGAAATGCAAATCAAAACCACAATGAAATACCATTTCACACCAGTTAGCATGGTCAGGAAACAACAGATACTGGAGAGGATGTGGAGAAATAGGAACGCTTTTACACCGTCGGTGGGAGGGTAAATTAGTTCAACCACTGTGGAAGACAGTGTGGTGATTCTTCAAGGATCTAGAACTAGAAATACCATTTGACCCAGCAATCCCATTACTGGGTATATACTCAAAGGACTGTAAATCATTCTACCATAAAGACACATGCACACATATGTTTAGTGCAGCACTATTCACAATAGCAAAGACTTGAAACCAAACTAAATGCCTATCAATGTTAGACTGGATAAAGAAAATGTGGCCCATATATGCCATGGAATACTATGCAGCCATAAAAAAGGATGAGGTCATGTCCTTTGCAGGGACATGTATGAAGCTGGAAGCCATCATTCTCAGCAAACTAACACAGGAACAGAAAACCAAATACCGCATGTTGTCACTCATAAGTGGGAGTTGAACAATAAGAACATATGGGCACAGGGAGGGAAGCATCACACACTAGGGCCTGTCAGGGGGTAAGGGTCAAAGGGAGGGATAGCATTAAGAGAAATACCTAATGTAAATGATGGGTTGACGGGCGCAGCAAACCACCATGGCACATGTATACCTATGTAACAAACCTGCACATTCTGCCCATGTATCCCAGAACTTAATGTATTAAAAAAAAAAGAAACAAAGATTGCATACTATATAATGGCATTTACATGAATTACTCAAGCAGAAAATTGTAGTGATTGTCTTCGGAAAGTATTACATGAATAATGCTCAAAAGAGTTTTCTGGAATGTTGGAAATTTACATTTTGATCTGGTTGGTGGTTGCACAAGTATATTGATTTTTTGGTTAAAAATGAATTGTATATTAAACAATTTCTCCTCTTCAAGAGCTTAGAGAATACAAGGGATATAAATATATTTATGTTTTTCTTTTTGCCAGTGACTGAGTAATAATTGACAAACATTTATTTTCTCACAAGTCCTTATCTACAGGGAAGGTATTACTAGTCACATTTTTAAGGTAGGGAATTGAGATGTCTAGTACCTTACATGAAGTAGTAAGGCTAAGGTAGAAATTCAGGTTTTTCTTCCTCCAAAATCCCTGTATTTTAATCATTATGCTGTATTATTTCTCTGCAGATAGTTTTATGTTTATTATTATAATTAATAATTTTAAATGGGTGCCATTATAAAAGGCAGAGTTTCTGTCAGATTCATCTTTGTGGTCCTATTGTGCAGCACAGTTTTCGGCACAGAATAACCACTTAGTATTACTTGAATAATAGTTGAATGGCTGTATACCTATGAGGTAATTTATAAATGAATATTATATGTTTTTAACATTATTACTTATATAATATTATTTTCATTATATTGTTATTTATTTTATTTTGATCATTTTATTCCAAATTCTTTTAAAGATTCCAATTTAATGTGTTTTGACTCCCATGTTATGCTGAAAAATATTAAAATAAATTTAATTGAAAATAATTACACCTATATGAAGAATTGTGTAAGATCAATACGCATTAAGCGAACACATTTATGAAAAAAACATTATGTTTTGAGAAAGTACTAACTCTTTTGCTCTTACAGATTTATGAGAATGTTTAAATCATTGTATTTTGGAAAATAATAATTTACCTAAACATTTTATATCTAAATAATTTCTCTTTGAAATGGATGACAGCTGGAATCCAGCTGTCAAAGAAAAATTAATGCCAGTTACTGAGAAGGCAGAAAAACTATATTTTAAATAGTCAATATACTTTCCTCTCTGCTGAAAAACAATTATTATCACTGCACTGAAGTTTGATTCACTTGACATTGTTCAATTTTGCAGCAGGACACTCATCATCAGAATGTGGGTACCTAACACAAAAGTCTGCATATTGGAATGTAAAAACCTATCACCATGGTGTTTGGTACATGCATTATCACTAGTAATAAATAGCTACATTCCTCTTCAAGCTTACTTTCAATTTAAGAATTTCCTAATGAAACACCAAGAAACACCAATCCAAATTATTTCTCATTTGGATGTATTTTTTGCAAATTCATTGAAGAATAATTTCTGCACAATTAGCTGTACATATTTAAAGTGAACAATTTGATGGATTTTCACATATGCATACATTCATGGAACCAAAATTCCAATAAAAATACATTTTTATCACACCAAACATATTAATATTCCTCATGTCTTTAGATTCTGTACATGCGCAACCATTGACTGGCTTTCTGTTGTAGAGAGAACTCTATTATGTATACATCTATATAAAGGATATTACACAGTACATACATATTTTGTCTAGATATTTTGCTCATCATAGTGATTTAATACTCATCCGTGTTGTTGCATGTCAATAATTCATTGCTTTTATTAATAAGTAAGTTTCTATTGTATAGCTAAGTAATAACTTATCCATTCATTTGTAAATAAAAATTTAGTTTTAGTTAAAACAATACTCATAGCTAATGAAATAATTATTAAATATTTTATACATTATTTTAGTGTTTACTAGGCATTTATAAATTTAAGCAGATTAAATCAATATCTTATTCATTTTATAACTTGACATTTTCAGAGTATCTCTCCTGTGTGAGAAAGTGTTCAACAAGCTAAGTATACAACAGGAAGCATAATACAAAATTCTCACTCTCATGGAATAAACTTTGGTGAGAGGAAGGACTATACAGATCTGTGCTTACAAATCCAAATGAGCAATATTAGTACAGGTGCTAAGAAGGAAATAAGAGATAAGTATGTGCCAGAGACTAACTAAAATAGAAAGATGTGAGCAGGCTTTTAAATAATATGGGTGGGGCAGGTCTTTCAGATATCCGCTTTGAGATGAGACATAGTTGACGAGAAGGAACGAGTCACGGGACAAACCAGTGGAAGAGTGTTCCTAACGCAGGCCATAGTGAGTATGGCAAGCAAATGATATAAAGACAAATAAGCAGGGAGAAGGAGTGGTCTCTTGTGTTGGAATATATTGAACCACTGAAAAATTTAAAGGGAGAGTTTCAAAATGTGGATTGCACACAGATATGTTTAGCCATGAAAGCCATAGGTAATAATTTTGGTTTGATGTGTTTATTTGTTTTAAAACTAAAAAATTATGTGATCTGGCTTGTAAAATAGCATTTTGGCTACTAAGTGGATAGTGAGGGTAAATTTTGAATCAAAATTGAGTGTTAACAATGTTATTGTAGTGCCACCAGTGAGAGTGGAGGTTGCTTTAAAAAATCTGGAGACACACCAGAGTGGGAGAATTTAAAATTTGCCACAGTATTCATTGATGTATTCAATGTAAATGGGGTGGGGTTATTGAGAAAAAAAGGTTGAATCAAGAATGATTCATAGTTATTTGGCCTCAGAATGAGCTGAGACCCACTGAGAGCAAGAATAGACAAGAAAGATTTTGGAATGGGAAAATAGAAAATGCAAATTTGAATATATTATATTTAACATTATTTTTGACATGCAAACAATAATCTTTTTTATGTTGGATAATGGATATAAGAAACCCAAGATTATAAAAGTGAACAACACTAAAGATGCAAATGTAACATTTATCAGCAAATATATATATATATATATTTATACACACGCACATATACATCTATGCAAAGCTAGGTCTGCTTTCAGAAATTCCAATATTCTAAGGTTTGTCAGAGAAAGAAGAAAAGTCAAATGAGAATGTAAATAGTGGCAGTTAAGGATAATACACAGCCAAGTACAACGCTGTGCAAGATTGGTGATCCTGACAAAAGCAATTTGAGTAGTAGATTTGAAAGATGAACTGAAGATTCAAAAGTAAATGTAATGAAGGTATTCTTTTCAAGAAGATTCATGCAAAGTACACTTATATGCTAATAAAAATGAGCCAGAGGAAAGGAGAAGTCAACATTAGAGATGAAGGAGGGCAGAGCTGTAGAAAAGCATTTCTTGAGAAAGCAAGATCAAATGGGTTCCAAGACACAAGTAGAAGGATTTGTCTTTGGTAGGACAGGGTCACATTTCCACTGTAATTGAAGGAAAGAGAGATTATATAATTTATAATATTAATTTTATAATTAATACACCATGGAATTTTCCCCATATCCTTCCATGTTGAATAACATCCATTGTAAACCCTGGTTTTATACTTAATTGATTTTCATGATCTAAGGGAAGAACATTTTAGAAAGTTTAAGAAATAAAATAATAGTGGGCCGGGCACGGTGGCTCACGCCTGTAATCCCAGCACTTTGGGAGGCCGAGGCAGGAGGAACACTTGAGGTTGGGAGTTTGAGACCAGTCTGATCAACATGGAGAAACCCCATCTCTACTAAAAATACAAAATTAGCTGAGTGTGGTGGCGCATGCCCGTAATCCCAGCTACTCGGCTGAGGCAGGAGAATCGCTTAAACCCGGGAGGCGGAGGTTGCGGTGAGGGGAGATTGCGCCATTGCACACCAGCCTGGGCAACAAGAGCGAAACTGTCTCAAAAAAAAAAAAAAAAAAAAAAAAAAAAAGTAGACATTAGTAAAAATAATAAATAGTGAAGGTTTCTACCGAAAGATTTTCTTGTTTTTTTTTTTTGACTGAAAGATTTCTTAATGCATCTCAGGGGAATCTGTATGATGTTTTGATCACAGTTCTCCCATCCAAGCACTAACCAGGCCCGACCCTGATTAGCCCACAAGATCGGAGGAGATCGGGCACATTCAGGGTAGTATGCCCTTAGCGTTGATTACTCTTCTATAATCAATTTAAAACACTTCTTAGTAATGTATTAACCGAATTGAAAATAATTCAAGTCAATCATTTAGCTTTCTAATCATACGTCCAAGGTGACCTTACGTGACAAGATTAGTGAAAGTCGGAGCTGCCTTCCTGTTTGTTCCCCTGGAATCCCCTCAGTTTTACAAAGCCAGTGTCCTTTATTTATTGCTCAGTGTCCTTTGCTGACAATAGCACACTCAACTGCCTGCTCCCAGAAACCACAGGAAATTGCCACAAGCAGAAGTCACTTCGACTTTGGGTAACTTATTTTACCCTCTTTCCTTCAAATCCTAACATAGGTGTACATGCACAAATACACGCACACACACAAACTTGTTAGATTCCTGCAAGTATAAATAATAAATGTTGTACACGTGACTCATTTAAAAACATATCCCTGAGCTTTTAATACAACTATGCTTGTTTTTAGCAAAGTTTTGTTCCATATATTATGCTTATTATTTTTCATTTATTTTATTTACTTATTTATTTATTTATTTATTTTTGAGATGGAGTCTCTGTCTCTGTTGCCCTGGCTGGAGCGCAGTGGCGCTATCTGGGTTCACTGCAACCTCTGCCTCCTGGGTTCAAGAGATTCACCTGCGTCAGTGTACTAAGTAGCTGGTACCACAGGTGCATGCCATTACGCACAGCTAATTTTTGTAATTTTGGTAGAGACGGGGTTTCACCATGTTGATCAGGCTGATCTCAAACTGCTTTAATATCAAGTGATCTGCCTGCCTCGGCCTCCAAGAGTGCTGGGATTACAGGTGTGAGCCACCGCGCCCTGCCAAAATTCTGTGTCTTTAATTAAACTAAGAATGACTAATTTTAGACTACCAAATTTTATAGTGTGTATATGCACATTAAGACTTAGGCTGGACACAGTGGCTCATGCCAGTAATCAGTGAACATTGAGAGGCCAAGGTGGAAGGATTACTTAAAATCAGAAGTTCAAGACAGCCTGGGCAACATTGTGAGACCGTGTCTCTACAGGTGGCATGCACCTGTAGTCCGAGATACTCAGGAGGTTGAGGTGGGGGGATCACTTCTGCTGTGATGCAGTCTGGGTGACAGAATTAGACCATGTCTCAAAAAAAATCAATATAAAAGATTTTAGCCTAGAAATGTGCCATATCATGTTTTCCAATTAAGTACTGCTGGGAAATTGTAAGACTATCTTTTTCAAATTGCATGAATTTATTGGGCAAAATTATTAATGGAGACTCTTTTTATTATCAAATTTGATTGTTTTAATTTGATATCTAACTTATACAACTAGAGTTGTGCAAGTTATATAATTTCAAATTAAAATATATTGCATAAATTTACATATTACAATATCTATGTTTACACCTCTATTGATTGCTATAAATATTCTATAGATTTTATATAAAATAATGGGAGTTAGGGCCCTACATTTTGATAATAAAATGATATACTTAATAAAATATCACTAATAGCTGAGGTTGTCATAAAAAAGCCATGACATGGATTTTAAACAGGTCATATTCCATATCCCAAACTAGCTAGATAATTAGTCTAACTGTGCATGGTATTCCTATATTCTCCTGTATAATTTGCATCAGAAAACATTTTAATGTTCATGAAAATAAATTTATTTTGGAAAATAAATACAATTTTATTTTTTAGGGTTGATTTGAAACAAGCTATTTGATAAGTAAATATAAAATAATTATATATTTTATATGCATGCAGTGCTCATCTTAAAAGCACTGATTCACTTAAAAATACAAACTGATTCACTGAAAGAGGAAGTCAAATTGTCCCTGTTTGCAGATGACATGATTGTATATTTAGAAAACCCCATCGTCTCAACCCAAAATCTCCTTAAGCTGGTAAGCAAATTCAGCAAAGTCTCAGGATATGAAATCCATGTGCAAAAATCACAAGCATTCTTATACACCAATAACAGACAAACAGAGAACCAAATCATGAGTGAACTCCCATTCACAATAGCTTCAAAGAGGTTAAAATACGTAGGAATCCAACTTACAAGGGATGTGAAGGACCTCTTCAAGGAGAACTACAAACCACTGCTCAATGAAATAAAAGAGGATACAAACAAATGGAAGAACATTCTATGCTCGTGGATAGGAAGAATCAATATCGTGAAAATGGCCATACTGCCCAAGGTAATTTATAGATTCAATGCCATCCCCATCAAGCTACCAATGACTTTCTTCACAGAATTGGAAAAAACTACTTTAAAGTTCATATGGAACCAAAAAAGAGCCCACATTGTCAAGTCAATCCTAAGCCAAAAGAACAAAGCTGGAGGCATCATGCTACCTGACTTCAAACTATACTACAAGGCTATAGTAACCAAAACAGCATGGTACTCTTACTAAAACAGAGATATAGAACAATGGAACAGAACAGAGCCCTCAGAAATAATACCACACATCTAAAACCATCTCATCTTTGACAAACCTGACAAAAACAAGAAAAGGGGAAAGGATTCCCTATTTAATAAATGGTGCTGGGAAAACTGGCTACCCATATGTAGAAAGCTGAAACTGGATCCTGGATCCCTTCTTAAACCTTACACAAAAATTAATTCAAGATGGATTAAAGACTTAAATGTTAGACCTAAAACCATAAAAACCCTAGAAGAAAACCTAGGCAATACCATTCAGGACATAGGCATGGGCAAGGACTTCATGTCCAAAACACCAAAAGCAATGGCAACAAAAGACAAAATTGACAAATGGGATCTAATTAAACTAAAAAGCTTCTGCACAGCAGAAGAAACTACCATCAGAGTGAACAGGCAACCTACAGAATGGGAGAAAATTTTTGCAATCTACTCATCTGACAAAGGGCTAATATCCAGAATCTACAATGAACTCAAACGAATTTACAAGAAAAAAACAAACAACCCCATCAAAAAGTGGGCAAAGTACGTGAACAGACACTTCTCAAAAGAAGACATTTATGCAGCCAACAGACACATGAAAAAGTGCTCATCACTGGCCATCAGAGAAATGCAAATCAAAAGCACAATGAGATACCATCTCACACCAGTTAGAATGGCCATCATTAAAAAGTCAGGAAATCACAGGTGCTGGAGAGGATGTGGAGAAATAGGAACACTTTTACACTGTTGGTGGGACTGTAAACTAGTTCAACCATTGTGGAAGACAGTGTGGTGATTCCTCAAGGGTCTAGAATTAGAAATACCATTTGAACCAGCCATCCCATTACTGGTTATATACCCAAAGGATTCTAAATCATGCTGCTATAAAGACACATGCACACATATGTTTATTGCGGCACTATTCACAATAGCAAAGACTTGGAACCAATCCAAATGTCCATCAATGATAGACTGGATTAAGAAAATGTGGCACATATATACCATGGAATACTATGCAGCCATAAAAAACGATGAGTTCATGTCCTTTGCAGGACATGGATGAAGCTGGAAACCATAATTCTGAGCAAACTATCGCAAGAACAGAAAACCAAACACCACATGTTCTCACTCATAGGTGGGAATTGAACTATGAGAACACTTGGACACAGGAAGGGGAACATCACACACCAGGGACTGTCATGGGGTGGGGGGAGGTTGGAGGGATAGCATTGGGAGATATACCTAATGTAAATGACGAGTTAATGGGTGCAGCACACCAACATGCACATGTATACATATGCAACAAACCTTCACGTTGTGCACATGTACCCTAGAACTGAAAGTATAATAAAATAATAATAATAATAAATAAAAACTCATTTTAATAATGTAAAGACATGGCTATAGTATTAATACTCTTTAAAATGTAAGTTGAAATTGTTCTGCTTTGATTCATATGTTTATGTTTCACAGAATGGAGCTGTTGAAGACATAATATTTTATTTTATTATAATCAGCATTCACTTAAGCTTGCTTTTTGTTGCAGTATCAAAACTTTCCAATCAGACTTAACTTTCAAAATAAAACAACTATCCATTCATGTGCCTCATTTTTGCATAAACATGTTAGTAAAATTTGAATTTATCTTTTTTATATTTGTAAACAATAAAGTATTTATTTCAAAGTTACTTGATAAATTCCTGAAGAGAGAAATAACCTTTTCCCTAATGAGGTAGTATCTTGATAAACCAACCTGGCAGTTACTCAACTTTTTTTCTTAAGTAGTTAAAAATCACTCAGTGAATAGTTAAAGGAATTGAATATATTACATATTTTCAACACCTGGAGCATAATTTTAACATGAGTTTACAAAAATAGTTCTCTATAAGGAATATAATTTTTCTGATTTTGACATTTTGATTACCTTGACAAAATTACTGGTGTGCATGTCTATGTCTTTGAAATCATGGCAACTAGGTTATTTTCTATTCCACCATTGTACCCATAGATTAAAACTATCTCTGTTAGCATTTGGTGGTTAATTAATAGCATATATACCAGCATATATACCACATATATTGAATAATAATTATACAATACATATGTAAATGTTGGTATATATGCTGGTATTACACATACTCACACACAAGCACATATATAGTGACTGAGAAAATTGGCTTCAAATTCACAGAGAATTTGGTTTCACCACTTGCCTTGGCTTCCATCATGGTGGTTAATGAAGATAATATCCAACAGGTGGAGAGATCCATCAACAAAATATTTATAAACCCCTAGTATAAATTTCAGTTTACTGTCAGAACCACACCCATAGTTTGTGCAGCCTAGGCATCTATATTCAGATTTGTTTGTATGAGTTTTAAAAGGCAGGATAAAAAACAATACTTATTATATCTCCTTTAAAGTTTTTTTGAATTTAATAAGCATCAATATTTACCTGTACCTGTTTATTAGCCTAGCCTTTTTAAGCAAATTCCTACAATTCATCATTACTAATCCAATGTAAATATTACCTTCAAATAAATCTTTGTTTCACCAACTCTTCCCACGTTATGGCCCTTATGCCCAGGCCGAATTTTCTTTTCTTTGGGGTCCCACAGTGCTTTGTTCATAGCCATGTAGAGCAGCAATTACTTGCTCACAGATCTGTCTCTTATAATAGGCCAAATTCTTCTACAGCAGGGAGCATATGCTATTTCCTCTGATTATTCCCAAGTCTCTGTCAATGTTTATTGACTATGCGAGAATACTAAATTGTTTGCAACCATAACTGGAAGGGGAATGGCAATTTTCAAACTTAATCATAGTTGATCCTCACTATAAAGATAAGCAGATTTACCAAAAACCACAAAATTAATTGTACTGTTTTCTAAAATATTATTAGTAACCACATTAAAACCTTCAAAATACTCCTGACGAAAATGCCAAAATAGCACAATTTATTATGCAGTTTATTGCATAATATGCAAAGCCATATTAGTAAATATGAATACATGTGCCTGTCTCATTTCATCATTTCAAACGAATTATCACTTTGCATTTCAAATTTGTGTTCATCAAGTAATGCAATAATGATAAGCACTTGGAATTTGAACATGAGTACTAATCAGTGGATTTTTTTTCAAAGACACAACATCATTTGAATTTGTCACTTTTCAACACATTCAGTAAAAACAGAACAATGTCCAATAATGAAAAATTTACTGTGCATAATAGTCAATTGCTACAATTCTTTGTCAGAAGTCATACTTCTAAAATCACCGTAATCGAATAATGTTATAAAGAACATTCTTAAAAAGAATGTAAATATTTATATTTAAAAAGAATGTTCTTCGCAATATAATTAGGTTATGGTGATTTTAGAAACATGAGAAAAAACAGATTTTAGAAGTATGAGAAAAAAACTGATTCTAGAAGTATGAGAAAATATCTTTTCTGTTTGTAAATGTTTTGCAAAGCTGGTAAATTGGACATTTTATATATTGATTCAGAAGTATATATTACATGCAGATGCATATTAGCATTCAGACAAACTGCTTATACACATATATTATGCATGCATTTCAAAGTGGTATATATAATTATATAACGCGTCTGAGAAATCTTTCCTCAAAGGAATTTCAACAATTCTTATTCACAGAACCGTAATTACTTTAAAGGAACTACAATTAATATTAATAATGTATGTTGGAAAACTCCAGGATTGTGGGCACATTAAGAGACAAACATCAGCCTGAAAAAGTACAATTGACAAAAAGTAAAAGATAAAGTTTAACTGTTGTCTAAATGTGCCCTTATTCCATAAATCATAGACTTTCAACACATCTTATGGAAGTGCAAATTCTTCAAAAATAAGCGCCGATATCTTTAAATATAAATAAACTCTCTGAGCCACTTATAACAATTGGATACAGCTATCATATTTAAGTATTTCCCTATATTCAAAAAATAGTGAGATAAGTAAACAAGATTCACTTAATTCAAAAACAAGCAAGGAAAATTATGAATTATTACTCTTTAAAATCTTTCCACCTGTGCCAACTTTCTCCATCTTTTCACAACAGATAAGCTTATTTTAAGATTGGTTTATATTAAACATCTTCATTACCTTATCCCATTCACTTGACAATCTACACAATCTAACTTTGTCCATTAACATTCCACTGGAATCACTTGAATTAGTGACCTCCTAATACCCTAATCCATGGTCTCTTGTCAATCAACATTTCCCTTATTTAACCTTTCTGAAGTACCTGTACTGCTTGCTAGTCCTTTAGTTCAAGAAGTCCTGGTCTGTGTGCTACCGCTGGGTCCTTTTTTTATCTTTTTACCTGCTTATTCTCTGCTTCCTGCTTAGTCTGGAGAACTGGAGAACCAGCAAAACTCACCCAACGATTGGAACAATGAATATGTTCTTCCAGTGTCATAACTGTAAGGCCTGAGAAATGTAAAATTTGGGTAATAATCAGGAGTCAAATATGACCACATAAAGAAGCAAATTTTTGGCAGGAGAAAAAGTACAATTTTACAATGAAAGACATCATATTGAGTTATTGTTCTTAAAAAATTCATTTTGGAAAATAAATTTTTAAAAAAATGTTTAAAAAATGGTACAGTCTCTTTGTAGTATCAAATAAGAAAGCCAGCAATTACGCAAAAGTGTGAATAAGCTGTTGGACAAAATTTTGGATTTTATGCTATGGAGCAATGGGGCATGATATTGATTTTCCCAAAATTTATGCTGCCAATCTTTTTAAAAATCTTCTTAAGCACTTTAGAATACAAGTTTATGGATATCCATAGTTTCAATAGAGCAATACACTAGTGAATACTAAACATACATCATTAGTCTAGACTTCGGCTCCAGAGCCATACATTCAATTACCTTTTGCACTTGTCTCCTTTGATATTCCAAGGCATCTTAAAATGAATATGCCTGACTAAACTCCACAAAGTGTCATTTCCCTACACACATTTATTCAAAAACTTAGTACTTAAACCTTGACTATAAATAAAAACACATTAGAATAACATGTAAGTACCCTTTATGTCCAATTCCCACCTACGTTTTAGTTTCATACCCCAACACTCAGAGACCAGCTACTTTGTATTCTGAATCTATCACATTTTCACTCTTTTCTGAGATTTTCCTGATTTCATTTCCTACTTGCACGTCCATTCCTCACCTATGTAGTCTGGACTTTTTCAAGTTTCAGATTTTCTCCATCATAGTTTCAGCTATCCTATAATTTAGCTTTTCTCCGGATTAGGTATTCTCTAGAAAATCTCCCTTGATTCTTCACCTAATGCATTCAATCCAGATGGATTTGGGCAGGTTCTCACAGACTATAAATGATTAATTGATAGAGCAGCTCTTCACTGATTTTAAAATTGCTCATTTACTATTAGACTTTAAACATAGTCTGTAAACCCCTTGGAGAAAGAGATTGTGCATTCCTCTTATTTATTCTAGTACCGTGTATAATACTCAAAATATTATAAATAAAGATATGAATTCTCTAATACTTAGAATTTAAGACAAAGTGTCAAATCAGATTTTCAAAATAAAAGTAAAGCAGAAAATGAATTGATAAAATTATAAAATCTAAGACCTGACAAAATGCAATAGAGATTCAAGGAAACTATATGAGAGGGGAAAGGAATGAACAAAGGAATCAGCTGGGCAGAGCGTTGGTGACTTGGGAAGAGAAGAGTGGAATCCACAGTGACTAAACCAGAGAAAACCAGTGAATCAGAGAAACTGACAATAGCCATTCTGACAACAGAAAAACAATAGATCTAAAGCATAATTTTATTACTATTTGTGTAGATATGGAGATTCATACAAACTATCCTATCCTGTATTCCTGCAATTTCTAATATAAGCAAAAGTGGAGTCATTTTTACAGCCAGTAACAGCCAGCACTGGGGCAGAGAGTGCTATGAATATTGTATCCCACAAATTCTTGTTAAAGCCCTAGCCCACAACATGATGCTATTTGGAGGTGGGGTCTTTGGAAGGTAATATGAGTTAAATAAGGTCATGATGGAATTAACATCCCTGTAAGAGGTGAAAGAAGGACCAAAATTCACTCATGCTCACTCTTTCCATGTGAGAACACAGTGACATGTGTTCTCTGCTATCTCCATGTGAGAGCACAGTGACATGTGCTCTCTGCACGTGGCTATCTGCAAACCAGGAAGAGGGCCCTTTCTGGGAACTGAATCTGCTGTCACCCTGCTCTTGAACTTCCCAGCCTCCTGAACTGTGAAACTGAATTTCTATTCTTTAAACTAACCAGCCTATGGTATGTTGTTATAAAAGCCTGAGATGATGGATATGAGAACTGCATACAGCATTATTGTGACAATCAAAGCCTTTGGCTCCAGAGTGGACCACCTTATGTTAGACATATACCCCAACCCATTGATTATGGAAGGAAAGGGAGAGCACGCTTGAGTAAAACCCATTTAAAATCCTTACAATTATAAGATTTAAATATATGTATTAGAAAACTATCCATGAAAACCTATCACATGCGGTTTCTGGCAGAGATGAGAACAAGACAAGTGTTTACCCTATGTGGAATAACATTTGCATAAATAATACAGGGTGATGAACATATAAATTTCCAAAAATTTTTATTTGGTAGAGTTAGATTATTTCTATATGTATATCTCAATAAAAGCATCTTACAATAGATTGTATAAAAGGAACATGCAGAATGGCATAGCTGTCCTCATACAGAGGTCAGTGAATTTAATGTGCATAAGGGTCTTTACATGTTTATGGTTCAGGTTTTTGAGTTCATAAGGAAATATTGCAAGATTATCAGTGTTATGTATTTATTTCTCTAGAGTCAGCTCATCTACACTTTGAGGATGCTATGAACAGGGAATTGAAAATGTAGATTTCAAGGCCTCATGATCCAATCTTTTAGGTTTTACCATAGGTGTAGTTGATTAAATCTAAAACAAACAATGTATAATGATGTAGTTTTAGGGCCCTAGGAACAAAGGGCTATCCATGTTTGTTAAATATCTAGGGGTACTTACTTGGCAGTTTGGGATAGGGCTGATAAAGGAAGTAGTTGGGATGGGGACTTAGCATACTGCCTGTGAAGTCGAATTGGGAGGTTTTAGCCATGTTATCAAAACTGGGTCAAAACAACACTTGTGAAATATTATGCTACTTGTGATACAAGGACTCAGTGCAAGATGTTTCCCCAGTTTCTGTTTTACTGTAATAAATAGTGTGTGTCTCTAATTCAGAAGCATCATATTCTTCTGTTTGTATATGTATGTGAAAGTGTGATAGCCTAATGGGTTGACTTGCCACTAGGTGTGTCCATGATCTCTTTGCATGACACCTATTTCCTTATTTATAGAATGTCATCTACATATTGTTCATTTATGCATTCATTCAAGAAATATATTTATGTTAGATGCAATACACATTTTTATAACTTGATTTGTACGTGATCTTTGAGGAACTGGAAATAAGTTAAGTATAATATAATACATAAATATAATATGTAAATATTGAAAATATGAAGTGCAGTCAAGTAAATACTGTATGAAAAGCAGAGGTTAAGTATTATTGGATGTTCACAATACAATTGTTATTTTTAGTTAGGATAAGGGATATTTAATGAATGAAATAGCACATGAATTGAGCCCTGAAAAAAATTATACATTTGTCAAAAGGAAGCAAGGGATTTTTAAGCTAAGGGAATAGGCACAGAAAATTTGCAACGACATGCAGCTCTTTACCATGGAACATCTTGAAGTACATTCTGAATTACATGTCCAGAGCAGTGAGAAATAGCCTTTCAATGTAAATAGGATTCCAGATACCACTCTGAAAGTTGAATTTCTTTGAAAATTACTTATTAAAGGGCATTTAAATAAAATTACTGTATGGAGAAAATCCTGGATTTTGAAAAGCCTGTAAGGATGCTTTTGTAACAGTACGAGACTAATTTCAAAATGACTTAAAGAGAATAAATAGTAGAAATGGAAGAAATTGGTAGACATATTAAAAATGATAAGAGAAAAATGTGTAGAATTCAATGCCTTATGTGGCCGAATAGTATAGCAAGTAAAGTAAGCAATCACACATGATTCTAACACTGAAATAAGAAGAACTTTGATGGATACTATAGATTGGCTTACTCAACTTTCCTTCCAAACTCTTACTAGTATTCTTTCTCCACAGTAGCTCCCAGAAAGGTATAAACTGCATATTCCAGCTTGTCCTATAGCTGAATTTCTAAATATTGTTTAGGTACTACTAATCAAATTTCTTCATATAAGACTTACACTCAGAACTGAATTAAGTAGAAAAAAAAAGTTAAATGCCTGGGTATCTATTTTCCTGGTATAGAAAGCAGCAGACACAATGCATTAACTACTCATTAAGCCATCCATGGCTGGCTGTGTGATGCTGTGGTTTCCTGCATCAGCAATGGTAACATTCATATCTTTTTGCTTAGCCAATATGGTCAAGTTTGTGCCTCATGTTTTAATGCAATGAGTAGTTATCACAATCTCAACAGAGGAAATGTAATTTAGGGGGAAGAGGGTTATTTTAGAAGCTTTGTCTAAAACCTACTATTTTAATACTTCCAATTATATTATAAGAAAAGTAATGTCAGGAAAGAACTTATTTTCTACTAAAATTAGTTATTGTTTATAAAGGAAACTTAACCAATATAATGATTAAGAGGATTTCGATTGCAATAAAAAAGAAGGAAGATTCTATAAGAATGAATGTTTAAAAGAGAGCAAAGACAAATTTGCAATTGTAGTATATGAAAATTTGTAAAAAGGTATAAAGAGACAAGAACTATTATTTGAATATAGAGATATAAAGGGAAATAAAAATTTGAGGAAAAAAACGCAGAAGTGATGTTGGCAATAGGGTTACATTAAAAAAATAAAATTAAAGTAGAAGAGAGTAAAAAAAAACGATATAGGGAAAGAACAGAGACTACAGAGTACAGTTTATTATAATTATATCCCAGACCAAAAACTAAATTGGTGACAGCTTACCATGTATATTACAATATGTATTATTAGTATTGGTTGATCAAATAGTAGTATCTTCAGTAACATTTTCATCTTCATTTTTCTGTAAGATTAAGTTGTTGAAACAACCAAAGTAATAAGCACATGACACATTCTGGCTACACTAATCCCTTGAAAATGACTTTTCTTTATATTTGAAGAGACAAAGTGAATAAAGAGTGTTTCAATAAACATACACAACTTATGATTTTAAAAATGCTTCTATGTGGCTTTGGCTTGAATTATTGCTATTGCTTTTTTCTCAGATTAATGATATAATTACTTTGAATAAATACAATTAAAGAACCATTATATAAATGAAATACCACATAGGCTACACACAAAAAAATTAATACTCAATGTTCCTCTTTAAATTCTGTAATTAGTAATAGTTTGACCATGAGCTATCTAACCTCTCTAGGCTACAGCCATGTTTCTCAACTGTGAAATGAGGAGTTGTATAATACTAACTTTCCCACATTGTTATGACTCTTAAAGAAACTGTAGAAAGTAGTTAAGAATTCATACTGTAAAATTTTGTAGACTTGAGTTCATTTTTAGCTTTAACATTTCTGGTGACGTGGCTTTGGGAATTTATTTCAGGCCATTACATCTCACATTTTTCGTCTCTAAAAGGATTTTACAATTCTGACCCTATACCATTGCTATGAGAATTAAATGAGACAATATATTGAGTATATATGTCTCATTTATGTATACATCCCATAGGTGCTGAACATTATTTTAAATGATGTAACATTGAAAAGTTGAACTTATACATGCAATATTTAATAATTACATTAACTTGAAAATATAAATTGTAAAGTTATACAATGTACATAACTTGAAAATGTAGAGTCATAAATAATAAACCATATTATATTTGTTCAAATTGTCATATTTTACAAATAAATTAATGTGTAACGTTTTATAAAATGGTCATACCATATCACAACAATAAAGAAAATGGGATACTTAATGGCCTTTATGTCTACAAAATTAAAAAATTATAAATGGAAAAATATCACATTTTTAAAAGTTTCATCCATTAACCAATTTTATATGTTCAAGAAAATTTATATAAAATCAAGGAAAACAAAACAAAGAAAGGCCAAAAATAATTTATGGAATATTAATTACTGATATTGTTCATTTTAATAGAAGCTTGACTTTTTATTTTTTCTCTTTTTAAAAGCAGGAGTGGCTGAAAGCTAAAAATCAATAGATAATTGTCAGATGAGAAAGCTTTTATAGTTTTGATAAAAGTCATGTCCTATATAGGATAAAACCAATTTCTTCAGGTGGCTAGAGTTTATATCACAGATCGCTTGATAATTTCACATTTTTATATGAGAAAACTGAGGTTCAGCGTTCCTGATCAATTTGCCAAGAGAAACAAAGCAAGTCTATGGCATCAGAATGAATCATAGCTGGTAGACAACTGGAAGCCATTATCAGAAATATAGACTCCCTCTAGGAAGATTCAGTCACCTGCTCATTCAGTGGCATAAGCCATGGCAACTACGAGGTAGAGTGTCACTTACAATGAGTCTCATTTGTCACAAGGAGGAGGTAGACAGTTATTGCTAGTGAAACATATTTTGGAACTTGTCCAGGACAATCCCAGGAGTATATACCTAATTTCCCAACATTATTAATAGCACCACTTTCACTACATAAAGTGTACTGCTTTGGATCTAAAATCATATAATCACTTTATTCATAGCCTACATAAACCTTATCTCATCCATTCTTTTCGAGTTTTAAAAGATGGCTTACCGGCCGGGCATGGTGGCTCACGCCTGTAATCCCAGCACTTTGGGAGGCCGAGGCGGGCAGATCACGGGATCAGGAGATGGAGACCATCCTGGCTAACACAGTGAAACCCCATTTCTACTAAAAATAATAATAAAAAAAAATTAGCCAGGCATGGTGGTGGGCGCCTGCAGTCCCAGCTACTATGGAGGCTGAGGCAGGAGAATGGCGTGAACCCAGGAGGCGGAGCTTGCAGTGAGCCAAGATCGCGCCACTGCACTCCAGCCTGGGCAACAGAGCAAGACTCCGTCTCGAAAATAGCAAAGACTTGGAACCAACCCAAATGTCCAACAATGATAGACTGGATTAAGAAAATGTGGCACATATGCACCATGGAATACTATGCAGCCATAAAAAATGATGAGTTCATGTCCTTTGTAGGGACATGGATGAAACTGGAAACCATCATTCTCAGCAAACTATAGCAAGGACAAAAAAACAAACACCGCATGTTCTCACTCATAGGTGGGAATTGAACAATGAGAACACATGGACACAGGAAGGGGAACATCACACACCAGGGACAGTTGTGGGGTGGGGGAAGGGGGGAGGGATAGCATTAGGAGATATACCTAATGCTAAATGACGAGTTAATGGGTGCAGCACACCAACATGGCACATGTATACGTATGTAACAAACCTGCACGTTGTGCACATGTACCCTAAAACTTGAAGTATAATAATAATAAAATAAAATAAAAAAGACTTCTTACCCTCTAAAGTGAGAAGAATCTCTGCTTCATAGTTGTGATATTATATATTATTTGACCTCTGCTATTTCTTCTCAAGTAAACTTAATGAATACACACTTTTGTATTGCCACACTTAGTAGTATTTTTAAACCTGTATCATATATAGAGAATGTCATTATTTCTAGATAGTCTCTTCCTTTCATAAACACCTTCTAAAAGTTTACCTTTGTAAAACATATTCTTTTCTGTACTTTTCACAGCTACCCTCTAAAACAATACAGTCAAGGTTACCTTCTAAATTTCCACAGTACAATTGTACCTTATTTTTGAAACTATTATATAAACCAGCTATTGTATATAGAAATCTAATTTAAATGTCCATAATTTCCCTCTCAGGGATTAATTGTTTAATTGCTGTTTATATACAATGTTTATTTCACTTGTCTTAAGTGGAAATCTCTCTTGTTTAATATAACCAAATGCACACCCATTGTAAACATATATATTTTCAGTAACGATAGTTGCAAACCTATACAGTCATTTCACTAGGCGTTAAGGGATTAACAGTGAACATATATGTATGTTCCTACTATTTAGGATGCCCATGGTATCTAAAAGAAAATTTTAGAGAAAATTAAAAGTATCAGTTTTCTGTGCATCTGAGAAAAACTAAAGTATCTGAGAAAGCCTAGACAAGCTGAACTCCAGAGACTAAACAAGCACTTTCTAGGTAGCAGAAAGCTAAGATAGCTTTATTTTATAGGATCATGACCTTGTTTGGGTCAGAGAAGATGGAAATACAGGTGTACATCAGATAAAATTATTTTGAAAGCTTGAGAAAAGAAAAATAATCCTAGCAAGCGATGATAATATGGGCTGCTGGAACAAAAAGGAATCTGGAAAATACACACACACACACACACACACAGAAAGAGAGAGAGAGACATACACAATATTTGGCTCTAGTATTATTTCATCCTTGTCCTCAACTTCAAATTATATTATAAAAGCGTCAACAAAAGAGGGACTAGAAAACAAAGAGAAATCTGATGTGAACCCACTTCCACTCAATTATTCATAAGACTAGTAAAAAGGCAGTAGCTCCAGTATTTGAAGGTTTGAATAATTTTATCTTAATTAAACCTAATTGAAGCGTTGGCCCTATTAGAGCTCAGATCAAATCTAAGAGGAATCTATAAGATTAGGGCTATCAACAAGAAAGAGGAAAGGGTTTGCACTCATTAAAAGTATCAAAGAAATCCAGACAAACAAAAAAGAATAAAACAGTATTCAAACACATAGACACATGTCTTCTTCTTCTCCTCTTTGTCCTCCTCCTCCTCCTCCTCCTCCTTCTTTTTTCCAGGCTGGGGTGCAGTGGCGTGATCTCAGCTCACTGCATCCTCCACCTCCCAGGTTCAAGAGATTCTCCTGCCTCAGCCTCCTGAGTAGGTGGGACTACAGGCGTATGTCACCATGCCCAGCTAATTTTTGTATTTTTAGTAGAGACAGCGTTTCAACATGTTGGCCAGGGTGGTCTCGAACTCCTGACCTCAAATGACCCACCCACCTAGGCCTCCCAAAGTACTGGGATTACAGGCGTGAGCCACCAATCTGCCAGGAACAATTCAATATAATGTTCAATATAGTAAACAGAATAATAGCCACAGTTGAACTAGTGATTACATATTATAACAAAACAAAAATTGTAAATCAATTTTCATAAATAAATTAAAAATTTACAAGAAAATTTGGTTATTACAGGTGCAAAGACATACATTTCAGGATAAAAAGAAAAACTAAAAAATGAAATATGAGAACTAAAAAATATAAAACAAATTAAGATTAGCTGAATGTACTTCTGATTAGCATGTAAAATGAAAGAAAAATGAGGGAAAAGAAAACATACAAAAAGGATTAAAATAAAAAGAGAAATAAATAAGGGGAAATGTTACAGAAGATTTCATATTAACAACTAAATAAAGAAAGCCTGATAAAACAAAAGTCACATTTATATAAAGGATTTTTTAAGTCTAAAATAATAATGCTTTTTCCCTAAGACTGAGTATAGAGAAAAAATGTGTAAAAACTAAACAAAACATGGATTGGAAATTAAGATGTTAAGCTATTTTTGTTTGGAGAGGTTATAATCATCCATATAGAAACCCCTAATGAATCTACAAGAAAAGCTCATAACAGTAATAAAAAATTTTACCTAAGTTGTAGAATACAAAGTCAAGATTTAAAAATTATAAAAAACAATATTAAACAGCATAAGAATTTTATACTAGCAAAAGATCTGGAATTGATATTTTAAAAATATGATTTATAATAACATTAAAAATTTAAATGCATAAGGTTAAATTGAAAGTGTAATCTGCAAATTGTACACTAAAAACTATAAGAAATCACTGAAAGAAATAAGAGAATATTTGAATACAATAAATATATTAAATCAATTGATCAGAAGACTTTACTTTTAAGACATTCAGTAACCACCGAATAATCTATAAATTGAATATAATTCCAATCAAAAATATCAGGAGGATTTTTTGTATATATTTTAAAATCGGATTTTGCATTTACATTAAAATTTAAATACCCTAGAATAGCCAATCATTTTTAAAGACAACAATTAAAGAACCTAACACTACTTCACATCATTATCACTCAAAAGTGTTATTAATCAATATAATGTCTTCCTGGCAAAAGCAAAAGAAATATAGAACAATAGAAAACAATAGAAAGTTAAAAACGGACTCTCACATGTACAGTCAAATGATATCGATAAAAGTGCTAACTAATATAATAGGGAAAGCATAGCCCTTTCGAAAATAGATGCTATGAAAATCAACTATCTAGAGGCACATAATAATAATTACAACAATAATAATAACCCTTAACTCATACCTTACGCAAGTATTTATTCAAAATGTACCCTATATCTAAATATAAGGAATGCAAATAAACATTTTAATAAGAAAAAAATACAATGTCTCCTAGTATTTAGCTATTTGGAAGGAACATCACTCTCATCCTTGTAACAATAATACAACAGATAACCTGCAAATGTACAACTTTTCTGAAAACCTTAAGAAATCTGTGGTCACAGGATGACCAGTTAAACTGAAATGTAAGAAAAGACTAAAACCTCCAAGCAAAACTTTCTTATTGGGGCATACACTGCTGGAGATCAGTAAGAATTCACCTAAAATTTTTAATGAATTGCTAATGGCCAATTATAATGGGCTAGTGAATCAGTCGAGGCCACAGACACAAAGTAATTGATATCCATCCACAGTCTTATTTCCACAGTTGTTATTACAAGCTTCTGAAAGAGACTGACAAAAGTGCTGAGAATGAATCCTTCATGATATATGTCTGGGAAAAGAATGGCTGCTTTATGCAGGAATGCATGCTGGGCACAGAATACAGCAGATGTGGGGGAAGGCTCATTGAAAATGCACCAATCTGAAGGCCCACGTTGAATAATTCTGAATGAGATTCAGTATTAGGTAGATATTACATCTACCTAACACTGAGCCTTAATCACAATAGCAAAGAATATTCTACTTCTTTCTACCAGGCTAACATCAAATAAAAAGGAATATGTGCACAGAAAATGGACAAGAATGTCGAGACAAATCTGAGCTACATCACAATATGGAAAATCTAAAACTGAAGGCAAAACATATATTGACAAAAAACCTCTGGTAAAATAGTCCAAATGCTAAACATAAGGTAATCCTACAGGAATATGAAGCCTATTTGAACTGAGAAAAACCATACAAACATATCCAAAACCCAGTTTAATTTCTAGATATATTGATATAAACTCTCATATTAAGGGCCTTTTAAGAATAAAAAGTGTGTTTATTTTAAGCAATAAAACCTACTTACCGCCATCTCCATTTTTGTACACAAGATGTATAGCTTTTGGCAAAATGGCACAAGGTTTTTTAAAAAAAAACAATACAATCAATACATTCCGAAGATGCAAAGTAATCAAAAGAATTAGACTTTACTATAATACATGTGTTAGGAATATCAGATGTAGCTCTTTTGCTCTGATTGATATATTAAATGTTCTAGTGTTCATCAGGGATATTAGTCTAAAATTCTCTTTTTTTGTTGTGTCTCTGCCAGGCTTTGGTATCAGGATGATGCTGGCCTCATAAAATGAGTTACGGAGGATTCCCTCTTTTTCTATTGATTGGAATAGTTTCAGAAGGAATGGTACCAGCTCCTCCTTGTAACTCTGGTAGAATTCGGCTGTGAATCCGTCTGTTCCTGGATTTTTTTGGTTGGTAAGCTATTAATTACTGCCTCAATTTCAGAGCCTGTTATTGGTCTATTCAGAGACTCAACTTCTTCCTGGTTTAGCCTTGGGAGGGTGTATGTGTCGAGGAATTTATCCACTTCTTCTAGATTTTATAGTTTATTTGCGTAGAGGTGTTTATTGTATTCTCTGATGGTAGTTTGTATTTCTGTGGGATCGGTGGTGAAATCCCCTTTGTCATTTTTTTATTGCATCTATTTGATTCTTCTCCATTTTCTTCTTTATTAGTCTTGCTAGTGGTGTATCAATTTTGTTGATCTTTTCAAAAAACCAGCCCTTGGATTCATTGATTTTTTGAAGGGTTTTCTGTGTCTCTATCTCCTTCAGTTCTGCTCTGATCTTAGTTATTTCTTGCCTTGTGCTAGCTTTTCAATGTGTTTGCTCTTGCTTCTCTAGTTCTTTTAATTGTGCTGTTAAGGTGTCAATTTTAGATCTTTCCTGCTTTCTCTTGTGGGCATTTAGTGCTATAAATTTGCCTCTACACACTGCTTTAAATGTGTCTCAGAGATTCTGGTATGTTGTGTCTTTGTTCTCATTGGTTTCAAAGAACATTTTTATTTCTGCCTGCATTTTTTTATGTACACAGTAGTCATTCAGGAGCAGGTTGTTCAGTATCCATGTAGTTGAGCAGTTTTGAGTGAGTTTCTTAATCCTGAGTTCTAGTTTGATTGTACTGTGGTCTGAGAGACAGTTTGTTATAATTTCTATTCTTTTACATTTGCTGAGGAGTGCTTTACTTCCAACTATGTGGTCAATTTTGGAATAAGTGTGATGTGGTGCTGAGAGGAATGTATATTCTGTTGATTTGGGGTGGAGAGTTCTGTAGATGTCTACCAGGTCCGCTTGGTGCAGAGCTGAGTTCAATTCCTAGATATCCATGTTAACTTTCTGTCTCATGGATCTGTCTAATGTTGACAGTGGGGTGTTAAAGTCTCCCATTATTATTGTGTGGGAGTCTAAGTCTCTTTGTAGGTCTCTAAGGACTTGCTTTATGAATCTGGGTGCTCCTGTATTGGGTGCATGAACATCGATGCAAAACTCCTCAATAAAATACTGGCAAACCGAATCCAGCAGCACATCAAAAAGCTTATCCACCATGATCAAGTGGGCTTCATCCCTGGGATGCAAGGCTGGTTCAACATATGCAAATCAACAAATGTAATCCAGCACATAAACAGAACCAAAGACAAAAATCACTTGATTATCTCAATAGATGCAGAAAAGGCCTTTAACAAAATTCAACAGCTTTTCATGTTAAAAACTCTGAATAAATTAGGTACTCATGGGATGTATCTCAAAATAATAAGAGTTATTTATGACAAACCCACAGCCAATATCATACTGAATGGGAAAAAACTGGAAGCATTCCCTTTGAAAACTGGCACAAGACAGGGATGCCCTCTCTCACCACCCCTATTCAACATAGTGTTGGAAGTTCTGGCCAGGGCAAGTAGGCAGGAGAAAGAAATAAAGGGTATTCAATTAGGAAAAGAGGAAGTCAAATTGTCCCTATTTGCAGACGACAAGATTGTATATCTAGAAAACTCCATTGTCTCAGCCCAAAATCTCCTTAAGCTGATAGGCAACTTCAGCAAAGTCTCAGGATACAAAATCAATGTACAAAAATCACAAGCATTCTTATACACCAATAACAGACAAACAGGGAGCCAAATCATGAATGAATTCCCATTCACAATTGCTTCAAAGAGAATAAAATACCTAGGAATCCAACTTACAAGGGATGTGAAGGACCTCTTCAAGGAGAACTACAAACCACTGCTCAACGAAATAAAAGAGGACACAAACAAATGGAAGAACATTCCATGCTCATGGATAGGAAGAATCAATATTGTGAAAATGGCCATACTTCCCAAGGTAATTTATAGATTCAATGCTATCCCCATCAAGCTACCAATGACTTTCTTCACAGAATTGAAAAAACCTATTTTAAAGTTCATATGCAACCAAAAAAGAGCCCGCATTGCCAAGTCAACCCTAAACCAGAAGAACAAAGCTGCAGGCATCACACTACCTGACGTCAAAGTATACTACAAGGCTACAGTAACCAAAACAGCATGGTACTGGTACCAAAGTAGACATATAGTCCAATGGAACAGAACAGAGCCCTCAGAAATAATAGCACACATCTACAACCATCTGCTCTTTGACAAACCTGACAAAAGCAAGAAAAGGGGAAAGGATTCCCTATTTAATAAATGGTGCTGGGAAAACTGGTTAGCCATATGTAGAAAGCTGAAGCTGGATCCTGGATCCCTTCCTTAAACCTTATACAAAAATTAATTCAAGATGGATTAAAGACTTAAATGTTAGCCCTAAAACCATAAAAACCCTAGAAGAAAACCTAGGCAATACCATTCAGGACATAGGCATGGGCAAGGACTTCATGTCTAAAACACCAAAAGCAATGGCAACAAAAGACAAAATTGACAAATGGGATCTAATTAAACTAAAGAGCTTCTGCACAGCAAAAGAAACTACCATCAGAGTGAACAGGCAACCTACATAATGGGAGAAAATTTTTGCAATCTACTCATCTGACAAAGGGCTAATATCCAGAATCTACAAATTACTCAAACAAATTTACAAGAAACAAACAAACAACCCCATCAAAAAGTGGGCAAAGGACATGAACAGACACTTCTCAAAAGAAGACATTTATGCAGCCAACAGACACATGAAAAAGTGCTCATCATCACTGGCCATCAGAGAAATGCAAATCAAAACACAATGAGATACCATCTCACACCAGTTAGAATGGCGATCATTAAAAAGTCAGGAAACGACAGGTGCTGGAGAGGATGTGGAGAAATAGGAACACTTTTACACCGTTGGTGGGACTGTAAACTAGTTCAACCATTGTGGAAGACAGTGTGGTGATTCCTCAAGGGTCTAGAACTGGAAATACCATTTGATCTAGCCATCCTATTACTGGGTATATACCCAAAAGATTATAAATCATGCTGCTATAAAGACACATGCACACGTATGTTTATTGCAGCACTATTCACAACAGCAAAGACTTGGAACCAACCCAAATGTCCATCAATGATAGACTGGATTAAGAAAATGTGGCACATATACACCATGGAATACTATGCAGCCATAAAAAAGGATGAGTTCATGTCCTTTGTAGGGACATGAATGAAGCTGGAAACGATCATTCTCAGCAAACTATCGCAAGGACAAAAAAACAAACACCGCATGTTCTCACTCACAGGTGGGAATTGAACAATGAGAACACTTGGACATAGGAAGGGGAACATCACACACTGGGGCCTGTTGTGGCGTGGGGGAGTGGGGAGGGATAGTATTAGGAGATACACCTAATGTAAATGACGAGTTAATGAGTGCAGCATAACGACATGGCACATGTATACATATGTAAGAAACCTGCACGTTGTGCACATGTACCCTAAAACTTAAAGTATAATTTAAAAAAAAATGTTCTAGTGGAAAAATGTGGCCAATGAGCTAGTGGGTAACTTAGGTAGGGAGATGGAAAGAATCAAATCGAAATGCTATAAATAATTTCTAAAAACTCATAGTATGAGATCAAGAATGTCTTTGAGGGGTTCATTTATAAACTTGAAAGTCAAGAAAGGATCAGTGGACTTGAAGATAAAAGAAATCACGCAAATGAAACCCAAAGAAGAAAAAATTTTACAAAAAACATCCTAGAATAGAGCATCCAAAAGCTATGAGAAATCTCATGATTCAATGTAAATGCAATAGGAAATCCAAAAGTTGAAAGAGAGAGATAATGGGGCAGACAAAATATTTGAAGAAATAATGGCTATGAACTTTACAAAATTAATGACAGACACAAACCACAGATCCAATAAACTTAGATAACAAGAGAGAAGATAAATACTTCTTTGCACACAAACATACACAAACGCATACACACATAAACATGCCATTTTATGATGAAGAAAACAGAAAAAAATTGAACAAAACTCTTGAATGCAGGGAGAGAGAACAAACAGAGATAAGAATGGAAGCAGATTTATGTAGGCCAGAAAATAATGAATTCATAAATAAAAGACAGAAAGACTTTTTTTAAAAGTCAACCTTCAATTTTAATAACAGCAAAAATACCTTCAAAAATGTAAAAGCAATAAGGGTGTATCTGACAAAAACCTTCCAGTATCAATGCGCTATGTGGTAGACTGAATAATCCCCTCACCCCTAACCAAAGGTGTCTATGTCCTAATCCCTGAAACCTGTGAAAGTTATCTTATACGGCAAAGACTTTGCATATATGATTCACTTAAGGATCCTACACTAGAAAGATTTTCCTGAATTATGTGGATAAAAGGGAAAGAAACAGAAAGAAATATGAGGGAGGAGAAAGGAATGTGACCGTGAATGCAGAGATTGGATTCATGGTGCCACAAACCAAAGAATGCCAGTAACCATCAGAAAATGAGAGTGCAGAAAGAGATTCTTCTCTAGAGCCATATTTGGATGGAATAAAGCCCTGCCAACATTTTGATATCAGGCTAGTGTTGCTGATTTCATATTGTAGGCCTCCAGAACATTTAGTAATAAAGGATTGTGTTAAATCAACTAATTTGTGTTATATTGTTAGAGTAAACATACAAAAAATAATAAGACACTATAGCAGACATTTAAGAAACTTCTTCAGGTAGTAAAACTGACACAAAAAAGAAACATGAATCTGCATAAATAAATGAAACCCATTTAAATGTAATATGTGAAAGTGAGCATTAAGTTATATTTCTCATTTTAATGGCTCTAAAATAGAATTGGCTGCAAATGCTGGAGAAAATATGTTAAAAATAGAAAAAAGTGTATTAATATTTAGCCAGGCATTAAGATTTACAAAGCCATAAATTAATTATGAAAATTAATTTTCATTTAGCTGACAATACAGAAAAAAATAATAAAAGCATGAAACATTTAGAAAACTGCCACTAGGATGGTACCAGTGGCTGTTATCCAATCTTAATGATACTTGCCTTGAATGTAAATGAGCTAAGCACTAACTAAAGGACATGTTTTCACATTAAAATTAAAGTAAGAGTTATAGTCTATCTACATGAAACTCATTTTTAAATATAAAGATAGATACAGGTTAAAAGAAAAACTGTGAAAAAATATGGCCAGAAAACACTAATCGGTTACTCTCTACAGAAATATCAGAAAAATTAGAACTTAGGAAGTGGAATATTATGAGAAATACAGTGATATATTCGATGATTATAGAGTCAATTTTTCATGAAGACATAACATCATGCCTAAGAATAAATACAGCTAAAATGAGAACTTAAAAAAATGCGAATCAAAAACTCACAGAATTTAAAGAAAAATAGTCAAATCTAAATTATAGTTGAAGACATGCATACTCTTTCCTTGGTAACAGATATAACGAGTAGACAGAAAACCAGTAAAGGGATAGAATAGGTAGCCAATAAGCATATGAAAAAACACTCAATATCACTAATAATCAGAGAAATGTGAATCAAAACTACAATGAGATACGATGTCACGCCAATCAGAATGGCTATTACTAAAAAGTAAAAAAAATAAATAAATAACGAATTCTGGCTTGGTTTCAGAGAAAGGAGAGCACTTATACACTGTTGGTGGGAGTGCAAATTAGTTCATCTTGGAAAGCAGTGTGGCAATTCCTCAAATAACTAAAAACAGAACTACCATTTGACCTAGCAGTCCCAATACTGGGTATATCCAAAGAAATATAAATCATTCTACCATAATGACACGTACACACATATGTTCATTGCAGCTCTGTTCACAATAGCAAAGATGTGGAATCAACCTATTAATAAATGTCCATCAATGGCAGACTAGATAAAGAAAATAGGGTCATATGCACCATGAAATACTATGCAGCCATAAAAAAGAATGAGATCACAACTTTTACAGGAATATGGAAAGAGCTGGAGGCCATTATCCTTAGCAAACTAATACAGAAACAGAAAATCAAATGCTGCATGTTCTCACTTATAAGTGGGAGCTAAATGGTGAGAACACATGGACATATAGAGGGGAACAACTGGCACTGTGGCCTACTTGGTGGTAGAGGGTAGGAGGAGGAAGAGGATAGGAAAAAATAACTTAGTGGGTGATGGAATAATCTGTAAATCAAACAACCGTGGGATTAGTTTTTCTATATAACAAAGCTGTGCATGAACCCTTGAACAAAATAAAAGTTAACAAAAAAGAAACAGAAAAGGTAAGCAATGGTGCCAACCAACTTGACCTAAACAGTAACACTGCAGACAACAATAACAACATAGTTATTGTTATTTTTTAATTTGCATGGAAAATTTTCCAAGACTGACCACATTTGGGGTATTACAAAAAATCTAATGCATACAATAGTTGAAATTCTGAAAAGTATGATCTTATACCATACTGGAATAAAGTTAATAATCATTAAGGGAAAGATAACTAAACTAGACATCTATCCAAATATTTTGAAAATACACAGCACATTTTTCTTTAACACATGGGTCAAAAGGAAAAACTTACAGAAAATAAGAAAATGTTTTGAAATGAATAAAAATGGAAACTCAACATATTAAATATGTACGATGTAGCTTGAACAATGTTTATTGATAAAATTATGATATTAAATGCTTGTATTAGAAAGGAAGAAAACTTTCAAAGTAAGATTCCACATTCAGACACAAGGTATAGAAAAGCATAAACCCGGAACAAACTAAAGAACAGAAGTCAATAAAATTAAAAGCAGGTAAAAGCAAAATAGTGGAAAGAAAGAATCCATAAAATCAAAAGTCATTCCTTTAAAATATAAAACAGAAAAATATTGAATAAGATTGATTAGGAATATAAGAGAAAATTCATGAATAATACCAGGAATAAAAAAGGGAGCACTCCTGCAAACCCTATTGATATTAAGAGCAAAATAAAGGAATATCAAAAATAACTCTATATCAATAAATAAGACAACTTAGACGCAATGGATAAATGCGTTAAAACAAACTGCCTAAGTTCACTGAAGAAGATATAGAAAATGTGAATAATACTATCTACTAAAGAAATTGAATTTCTAGCTAAAAACCTTGCACCAAATAACCTCCATATCCCAATGTTTTCACTTGTGAATTCTACCAAACTTCAAAAAAGAAATAATATCAAGTCTAAAAAAATAAGAATATTGAGAGGGTGACCAGCATTATCTGAAAAACAAATAGAGAAATTACAGAAGTGAAAACTATAGACTAATATTGCTTACAACATATTGGCAAAAATTCTCAACAAAATGCCTGCAAACATATCCCATAATACATGGAAAAAATAATATAGTATGACAAAGTAGAGTTTCTCCTTGGAATACTAAGCTGATTCAAGAATCAGAATTCGATCCACATAAATAGCCATCCAACAGACTAAAGAAGAAAAAAAAGATTATAAAAATAAATGATTCAGAAAAAAAGCCTTTGATAAAATTTAACATCCGTTTGAGATACAGATTATTAGTAACCCAAGAATGGAAGAGACCTTCCTCAAACTTAATAAAAGATATCTTCAAAACATGCCCCAAAAATGTCACATACTTGCATAGGAGTATTATACTTTCTTTCTAGAAAACTGCCCAAACTGTTAAAACTTAAGGAAAACATTTGTAACATTTTGCATTTCTACCAGCAATGTATAAAAGTTTCAGAATATATTCCTTGTAGAATCATGATGATTAAAAAATGTTTTACATTTGGATTTCAGGTTTTTCGATTAGGAAAGCTCTACCTGTATTATATTGTTATTTCTGAAGATATAACAATATAAAATATTGACTAAATAATTTTTGATGTTAAAATATAAGAAGAGTAAACACAAATTTGTTTCCTGATTGGATTAAATTTTTGAGAAATATCTTATATGAAAGCATGTTAAAAGTTACACTAGAAAGTATGTGATATATTTTTGCCTAAAAAAAGTAGGAGGATTTAGATATCATTTGGCTCCACTTGCTTGCTTTCTGTAGTAAAACTATTGTTTGATTACAATAGTTAATATTCATTATAGATAAAATAATTTGTCACTCTTTACTAAATATATTTACCAAGAACTGAGTCTTCTATGTTGGATCAAAATACCTAACAGCTGGAATTTTCTTATAACAGAAATATAACAGCAAGAGTAATAACTTTAACACAAATTAACTTATTGATTTCAAAATCAGTGCTGAGTCAGCAAAAACCAGTTAGTGCCTAGTCACATACATTCTTGTAGTAAATACTATCAGTTTTACACTTGTGACCTTTCTTCCACCTGACATTCACAGACATATAATGATCAAAAGAGCCATTTATCTCTTCATAAATGTTACATATTTTACTTGACTAAACATTACAGTTGATTTTGTCAGAAATCCAGTTACCTTTTTCTTTACTTCCAGCATTGTTTAGAACAAAAGCTGCCTGGTCATGTTGTGATAATATTCTGATTTTTTTTACCCTTATGAAGATTTATTGTACAACCACCTCCTATAGCCAAATAACATCATCATTAATTTATAAATTCTACACTTGTCTTCTCTGAATGCATGTGTACTTATGTATGTAAATATGTACATTCATGAATATGCATAAATATATATGTTTCCTATGCCTCTTTTGCTACGTGAATACAGATAATTATCTCCTTCTCAGTCTTCTCAACCTGAAATTCTAAATACATCCTTCTAATACTTCATAACACAATTATTTACAAATCTACCGGCTGAGAATTCAGCATATTCTAATACAAAGGCTGCAAATCACAAAAGCACTAAAAGAAAATATTCAATATAAAAACCATGTGTTTTCAACGTATTTTAGATATCTTGAAAGAAGGTAGAGTATATACAAAAATAAAAATGATAAAGTCCTCACTCTTTTTTAAGTTACAGTCTGTGATCAAGAAGATAACATGAATTAAAAAGAATGAAACAATTAAGAATAAAATATTCTGTAAGCTAAATCTTGCAAAATGAAACACTGATTTTAAATTTGTTCTAGAAATGATTCTGTGTTTGGTGAAGAAATGATTGGACAAATAATATTAATTTATGTAGGCTGTTTGAATAACACATTGATAAGTTCAAGTATTAAAAATATGAGCTTGCAATTGAATGTGTTCCGTTAACACCATCAGCAAGCAATTTTTTTCTTTTTTTTTTTAAATAAGTAGATAGTCAAATAAGGCAGTAAATAATTATCCAAGTAATTCAGCTACAACATAATCTCAAAACATTATGTTAGGACTCTAGAAGTATTATTGACTGTTCTTCTATTAATTAAAATGAATCCAGAATAATAATGTTTAACTACTTGCAAGGCTTACTTGATTTTTAATTTTTGAAAAGATAATAATTAGAGCATCATCCAGGTATCCATACTAAATGTCTGTTCCATTTAAAATGCAATTAATCCATTTTGTTAATTATTTTCAACTTCTTTTCATGCTGTTTCTACATGTCTATTTGGGCATAGATTGCTTTGGATTAAATATAGCCTGATATTACATTTTCCAAATCATGCCATTGTCATAATTGTTAGCAAATAGAAATGTAAAGAAATAATGGTAACTTAATCTATATAGCTGTTTACAAGGTACTAGTAAATCAAAATACTAACCACAAAAGATTTTGGGTTTGTGGAATACAAAATTACATATTGAATAGCTAAAATTATTCATCTTTTTTTTCAGGAAAATGTGAGCCTCTGGAGAAGCTGACTATTAGGCTACCTCTGTAAAGGTTCTATTTAAATAAATTTGGTATCGACTCTTTAGGAAATCAGCTGAAAATATTTCTCAGGACACTAATTGGCTTTAATTTGCAAATGATTAAATAACCTGAAAGTTATTTAATGAAATAAGTTATTTAGTGATCCTGAAAGTTCCCTTTAACTTTGCTCTGATTTTAAAAGCACTTTTTATGTATTTTTTTGAATAATGTCTGTTGCCATTAGGAACAACAATCAATTTAACAGTCGTCTCTAGCTCCAAATGCTCAGGAAGTCAGAAAAGTTATTTAGAGAGTTTTACAAGGAGAAGGAGAAGTAGTATGGCCTGATAATCAGATACAGATACATTCATTCATTTATTCAAAACATACTTATAACTGGTGCTTGTTGTAGATGCTCAAGATATAGCAGTGAACATTGTCTTTGCATTTATTGAGCTTCTGTAATTTTTGGAGAGACAAACTTCATAAGCGAAAAACACATACTTAACATATAGCAATAATCTCTGGCATGAACAAACATAATGAGGGGAGACGTGATTGGGAAGGCCCTCTCTGAGTGGTATCATAAGGCAGATACCTAAATTAAATGAGGTAATAAACCATGCAATAATCTAGAGTACCAAGATCTTCCGTGGAGAAACAAGCTTGGCACTTTTTAGGATCGGCAAGAAGTTGGATGTCACTAGGGGAGAGAAGCAGAGAGATGAAGTTAGAGAAATAGGTGGGGCCCTGGTGATGAGAGACAAATAAAGGATCTGAACAGGAGAGTATTATAATTGGTATTATTGTTTTCAAATATTGTATTTTCCGTTTTGAAAATAACTGTAGAGGATTGAAAATAAAACCAGGAGAACTAGTTAGAAAACTACCACAGTAGTCCTGGGAAAGTGTGGACAGAGCTTCTCTAAGAGAGACAGGATAAGCTCTGGTGCTGTAACTCCTCCGGGTCTTATCAGCTGCTCACATACATTAAAAGGATCAATATCTCAGCATAACTGCAACAGGTGTTCTGGCACCAGAATGGGAAAATCTTGATTAGATTAGAATACAGGTGGTGAGCGTTGATTAAATTTGGCTTGCATTTTAAATATGCCAACAGAATATACTATGGAATTAGAAATGGAACAAGAATGGAAGAGATAAATTAAAGGTGACTCTAGGGTTTGGGGCTTGAACAAATTATCATAGAAGGTACTCATTTCTGAGCTTGAGAACTCTGGGTAAAAGCAGGTTTGGGACAGGGTGGGGGAAATCAAGAGTTCTACTGTGAACAAGTAATGCTGAGATTCCTACAAGACATTCAAGTGAGTATTTTAAGTAGGTAATTAGACATGTGACTCAAGGGAGATGAATATTATAAGTTGTAAATTATAAGCATATTTATGGTATTTGAATCTATGGGACTGGATAAGATATATCTAGAATTCATATAGATCACCTGATTCTTAATCCTGGTTGCACTTTGGAATTACCTGAGGTATTATAAATAATACTAATGCCAAGTTCTAACCTAGAGTTTCTGATTTAATTGACCTGCTGATAGAGCCTAGACATCTTAATTCAAAAGTAATGGGAGAAGTAATAGAAAAACTGTTATGGCTGCATCACATAGTAACTCAGAAGTCCATGGCTGTGAGTGAGAAGGGTCCATAAGCATTTTTGTGAGATAAGGTAGTGAAGGTCACAGTGAGATCCAAGATGGACTCATGTCTGTTAGTTCATGACAGAGCTGCTCCTAAGAATAACCAGCTTTTCTTAGAGTCATATCAGTCCAATTGGTAATTTCTTACAGAGCATTGATAGAACTTCATGTTCTATAGATGAGATAATTTGATGTCTGATTTTCTTCGTTTACAGCTCAAATTTGGGGTTGACATCATGTCAACAACCAAAATCAGAAATGAATATGAACACGAATAACTTCAACATCACAGCTATTGATATCTTCAATAATTTTGCTAAGTCATTAACTTTCTAAAATTCAAATTAACATTCAGAAAAGCTCTCATACTCTTTATTATATTGTGCATTATTATTATGTTTTAATATGAGGATAAAGATTGACTAATAGTCAGTGCTCAAAATGAAAACCTTTGCTTGAAGTGTGAACATACTTTTGAGGAGATTAATAAATCCTTTCTTTTATGTTCACCCTAAAGTATGTTTTAGTATGATTTATTTATTTATTTTTAGGTTTAGGGGTACATGGGAAGGTTTGTTATATAAGTAAATTTGTGTTACAAGGGTTTGTGTTTCAGATTATTTTGTCACCCAAGTACAAAACCCAGTACCCAGTAGTTACATTTTTCTGATCCTATCACTCCTCCCACCCTTTACACTTAGGTAGGCCCCAGTGTCTGTTGTTCCCCTCTTTATGTGCTTGAGTTATTGTTATTTAGCTCCCAGTTATAAGTGAGAACATGTGGTATTTGGTTTGCTCTTCCTATGTTACTTTGCTGAGGATAATAGCCTCCAGCAGCATCCATTTTCCTGCAAAAGACGTGATCTCATTCTTTATTATGGCTGCATAGTATTCCATCATGTATATGTACCACATTTTCTTTATCCCATCAGTCATTGATGGGCATTTAGATTGATTCCATGTCTTTTATTGTGCATTATTATTAAAACTAAATCCTTCCTTGTTAGATATATATTTACTGTGAATGGATTTTTAAAAATGTGCCCTCCACAGACCATTTTCCAAAACATATTAAAAATCTCCCATAACAAAAATGTCTGTATAATTTTCAGTACTTCTAAATATTGACTTTAAATTACAATAAAAAGTTGCCTTATCTATCTATCTATCTATCTACCTATTTATCTATCTATCTATTATCTATCCATCTGCCTATCATCCATCATCTGCCAAAGTTAGGCATGTTTTCCAATATATATTTGATTAAAGAGCATTATTAAGCTCACCTTCAGTAATTTAGATGCTTAAAGTTCCAGGGGATAGAATAAATAAAATTTAACTTATTTGGCATAAGTTATAGTAAGATTAACAAATATTACACTGATTTGTACCTAAAACATAGTGCTTGCAAAACAGAATTATTAAACAATATATCATATTTAATGGTTTGTGAGAGATCTGATAACCACAGGGAAAACAAAAGTTTGTTTGAGGGCTCAGTTAGAATGAAGTAAATTGATCTGTGTGCATAATATAATGGTAAGTATGTACAGTTTATAGTTTTTACGAGAATGATACTGGCCTATGTCAATTATATTGGTTTCTAGTGAAATAAAAATAGGCTTGAGGTTAAATTGTAATGAATTCATCTATTGTGATATTTTCATTTCTTTGAAATACGCAAATACAAAGCTCAATAATTAGTCAGGTTCATCTTTATTAAAGAAATTCCAAGTGAAAAAAATTAAAAATTGTTCTTTTAGTTTTACCCTTTTCTCTAAAAAATACACAATATCTATAAAGGAATGAAGCTTATATTCATCTGGCATATACTTGATTTTTCTTTCTCTGTCATTCACGGTTATACCAAGGGTGAAATTTGCTCCTGGCCATTGGAAATAATAGAAAAAAAAATGCAAAAAAAAGGTCACACCAAATTTTTTATCTCATGTTCTTCTTACAGAGAATCTTTTATGTTAATGTCTTTTTACTTCTGGAAAGTGTGTGAAGGGTGCACAGTTTATGGAGAAAACATTTCACGGGGTTAAAATAACTACTCTTTCAATAGAAAAAGTCTGTAATCTCCTGAAGAGCTCATGGGAGAAATAAGAGTGTGGTGTTTTCTTTCCTTTCTTGATACAGCTGCACATTCACCACTGCCATGGCATAAAGCTAGGTGGGAGAAAATAATCAAATGCATTATTTCTCCCTCTCCGTACTCATTTCCAAAAGGGCTGTGGCAGAGGGTGGAATTGTTTATTCTGATTACTTTCATTTAGTTATTTTTCTGAGCTAACACAATTCATTTAAACCAATATAATATATTTACATAAACTAATAAATCACATATGTTATCTACAGAAAGAATATTTCTGAAATATATGAAACTGGAAGTTTCATAATGGAACACTTAATTATTTTCAAAAAGTATAAATAATGTTTGTATATCTAAAGCCCCTACAATTTTTTAGCCAGCTCATATTTATACAGATTGAATACTTATTTTATCTTAACATTATTAAAAGAATTCAAGAGATATTGCTTTCTCTGTCGACAATTCTGGCTCAAAGGCAACTAGCTTGAAAACAGAATTAAAGAAAAATTAGTAATATGGCCATAGATTTTATAACCACTAATCCAGAAAATATTTGTTGAAGATGTTGATAACGGAAGCTATGCTCAATCTGTGAACATAAAGAATCTATTATAACTAACACTAATTTTGCACTGAAAAATAATATGGGCAGACACAATTCCAAGTGCATTTTACTGCAATGATTGTTCTACTGTATCTCACAACAGCATTTTGGCACTGGTAAACTTTTATAGATAGACAGAGAAATACTCATAGAATGTTTTTTGTAGATAAGTAGGAAAATAGTCACAGAGGGGTAAAATAACTTGTCTAATGCTATGAGCTATGAGTGCCAAACCTACAATTTTCAGTGCATTATGCATGAAGAAAAAATAATAAGGGTAATATTTCCAATATTAAGACTAAAAAGAAGGTTTTTAATAAATGTTTCTTCTCTTCAGTGTTTCTGATGCAATGGTCTTAAAATAACACAGGTTCCCTGAAAATGATATTACTATGCATAATCTATTTTTTATTTTGCTCTTGTAATTATTCTTAACCTAAAATAAAAATGCAGAATTTATAAGTTTGGTTCTCATGTTTATTGGACATTTTGGGATGTGTGTGTGGCTGTGTGTGTGGCACATATTATTAAGGAGACAAGTGGTTTCCATGTGTATTTACATACACATACACTATTTTTAACACATAATTTTTATGTATATGTATTTATATACACATATACATATATACAAAATACATCCACATATACAAAATTTTGTGTATGTATATATACATAAACATATATACAGATTTATTCAACTGCTTCCATTGAGAAGTCTCCTGTAAAATAGAAGAACGGCAACATATATATTCATTCATATGTGTATATAGATAGAGATACAGAAATCTTAATGTCCTTGGTCTTTGACAAAACCTGTAAAGAATGACAATATATTTCTTTGGATAATTTATGACAGGTGGGATTTATGACAGTTGGATTTTCCCATTCTCAGTCTCTCACATCAAAATTCTAATACTCGGACATAAAGGTGTCTTATGTTGCAAAGTTTTACTCTCCTCTCCAAGTGCGCATGCACACACACACACACACACACACATACACACAGCAACTTAACATACTTAGTTTAAAAGAGAAATAACTATGGCTTTGTTATGCTTGAAGTAAGCTTATTACCTATGTCTTCATACCTAAACATGGCTACAACTAATGTTGGCAAGATTGCTTGTAGTCAATGGCATGTAGAGGCTAATAGCAAACTCTGGAGTCAAATGAGTCTAGTTATGAATCCCAGCTTTCTATTAGCTAGAGTTACTTATCCTCTCTGCATATATTTTCTCATTTTTTTTCACGAGAACATTGAGTTATTTTAAGGCTTAAATCACGTAATGTAAGAAAAACGTTAAGCAGGTTGCCTAGCACATAATGAGGGCTCAGTAAATGTTAGTGATTATTACTTTTATTGAGAGTACAAAACAACCTTGCTAATGTCGTTGTAGATCCTTAATAGCTAAAGAGAAATACAGTTGATCAGGTGGTTCTGAGGATCAAATGAAACAGATACATATAAAATATTTCACTCAGGATTTGGCACATTTATGAATCCTTTTTCTCTACCTTGCCTTTAATCTCCAGCTAAGGCAGAATACAGAATAGTGTTTTACTATGTCCAAATTTTGGAGAAAAATAAACATATTATTTTAATTGCAATCATTTCACAGTTGGTATCATAACTGATGTCACAAAATAATGGAAAAAATATTCCTATTCTGATTTTACATATTGCCTGGATTCAACAAGGGATCACTAAATGATTTTCATGGGTCATTTTATAATGCAAAGAGAAGCATAAAAGTATTTTAACTCTTTTTAAACCAAAGTTGAGTTGGCATGATTTTCATTCTTGTTTATTGCAGTTTCAAATATTTATTCTATATCGCAGTAGCAGTTATATGTAAATTCATTTGTACTGCCATTGGTGTCTTATTTAAATCAGCCGTTACTACTGTGGGCTTAGAAATTCTGTCCTTTTGAGCTTAATTCTTTATCCTGCAAACACTTCGGATTTCAAAACCTGGCAAATTCCCTGAGGAGAAAATTGTTCCTTGTGCTTGTGGCAGGACTCCTTTTGGTAGCACTTCGTCTTCTACTTGTTGAGACTGCAATATATTCCCTTCTGATTTCCTGTCCAGCCCACAGTCTCCTGAAGCTCCATAAATGTCAGTGCTGCCTTGTAGTAAAAACCAGCTGTGTGTGGAGAATCTTGTCGCTTTCAACCTGCAACACAAGCTCCGTCTGGCCCCACAAACTCTGGTGGTTTCTTTTTCCCCAGTTAAGTGCCTCTGCATCAACCATACCTGATCTTCAGCCCATGCTCAGACGCAGCCAAATACTAAACGGAGGGAATAGCCTGTAATCATGGATCAACTAAGAAGGACTCTTTACAGAAATTATTTCTAGTCTCAATCACTTCTAGTTTCCTGCTGTCTGTAACAATATTGTTTTTGGTTTATTTTCTCTTCCTAGTTTTTGAAGGAAGAGTAGTAACCTACCCTGTACTACTACATTCTACCCTGAATTAGAAGTATTTTATCAATTTCAAAAAATGTTTGTAACATTATATATTAAAATTAAATGATTATTTACTTTTATAATTGTTTTTCTGAGGAAAAAATCTACCATATTAATGTTTCATAAGTTTAAATCAAGGTTCCAAGAGGAGTCAAGATTTGTGATTTTGATCTTATTTAGAATATTTTATTTTTTCCTTTTGAAATAAATTAGTTGATAATGTACTAGAAACATGATAACCTGAGTTTCTTCAAATGAAAGCTAAATGCTATAGAAAACAATCATGCTTAAAAATATAATTATTTTAAATAAGATCTAAATAGACTCTTTTTAACTTTATTATTATAGTTAAAAAACTAAAAGTCCTTTCAGCTTGTGGACTTTTAATATGTGGGCAGAATAGTGTTTTACTATATTCAAGTTATTTTTAATATGTGGACTTGACATTAAAGGTATGACAAAACACCTTTAAAGAACAATTAATTATGACGATTTAATAAAAGTGGTCAGCATTGAAAAAATACTGCTATATTCTACATTTTATAGTTCAGATCTGGGAAAGTGTAAATCTTATTAACCCTCTAAATACACATTTATTATTCCTTTATTCTATTCATGTTCGAATTTCAAGAACAGAGTAATCTCTGTTCATTTATTTTGTATACAACAACATAGTGTTAAACTCCACTTGCAATCCTTCAACTATATTTTCTTCATTGTCATCCCTACAGGAAGAATGAAACACACAATAGTATCTTAGACTTAAAGGGTTATATATTTTCAGGCCTGTTTCTTCCACTTCTATCTTTGCATATGAAATATAAGTTAAGTTTTATAGATTTATACAAACTCCTTATCCCTTGTGGAATAAGTTAAATTCTGTTCATGCATTCTAATGTTCTACCTTATTTTCACTTTGATTCAAAAAAAATATAAATATGATTTACAAGTGGAAAAAATTGTGCTTAATGAAAGCTTCAAAATTTAGACTCTTTCTGGCACAAGATAGTATTCTATGCTATTGGAAGAAAATAAACTGGATACAATATCAAAGAATCAGAAAGATTAGTAAAATCTCTCTAACAGTAATAAAAGCATGAATAGTAAGAACCTTAAGATTTTCAAGCTAAAATTGGATCCTTAGTATTTTCTGCTAGATGGCTGCTTCTAGCAAAGGTGGATTCCCCCAAGAATGTCATTGTGTAACATTTTTGTAATAAAATTAAATTTTAAAGTATTTTTAAAAATAGAAAACTAACTTGTCTTTCTGTAGTAATCTATTGTAATTTTACCAGCTATAAGTTTTTGCTAAAGTTCCTTTAAAAATTATGTATTTTTGGTGGTTGTAAATTATTTAGATAGGGTTGAAGAACGACATTTTGTTAAGTACATCAAACAAAAAGTAATGACTGACCACCTTAAAACAATCAAATAAAACTCAAATTTCCTTTATAACAATTATTTTTAACTAAAAGTCATATGTCTCAAAATCACTCTTTACCAAATATTATTCAATGTAGTTCGTTTTCTCTTACCTTTCTAACTCCTCTTTTTTGTACAGGCATAACTCATTTGATTGTTCTCTGCATAACTGTGCTGTTCAGATACTGTGTTTTTTACAAATTGAAGGTTTGTGGCAACACTGCATCAAATAAGTCTATCAGCAACATTTTTTCCAACAGCATTTGATCACTTAGGATCTCTGTGTCACATTTTGGTAATTTTAATAATAATTAAAACTTTTTCAATATTATATTTGTTATGGTGATCAGTGATAAGTGATCTTTGACGTAACTATTTTAATTGTTTTGTGATCCCACAAAGGGTGTCCATAAACTTGGTGATCTTAATGAATAAATATCATTTGTGTCCTGACTGATCTACTGCCTGGCCATCCCTGTATTTAAGACTGCCTCTCTTTAGGTCTCCATATTCCCTGAGACACAACAATATTTAAATTAGGTCTAGCAATAACCCTACAATGGTTTCTAAGTGTTCAAATAAAAATAAAAGTTAAAATAAAAGAAACGCCGTCTCTACTAAAAATACAAAAATTAGCCGGGCGTGGTGGCAGGTTCCTGTAATCCCAGCTACTCAAAAGGCTGAGGCAGGAGAATCGCTTGAACTTGACAGGTGGAGGTTGCAGTGAGCCAAGATCACACCACTGCACACTAGCCTGGGACAGAATGAGACTGTCTCAAAAAAAAAAAAAAAAAAAAAGAAATAAAAAGTAGCAGAGGTTAGTTTAAGTGAGGTTCAAAGAAAGAGCCATCTCCATAACATAATAGTGCAAGGTGAAGCAGAACGTGCTCATGTAGAAGCTGCAGCAAGTGCTGATCAAGTAGTGTAAAGGGAATTGAAAGGATGTGGGTAGAACTCTGGCAGCATCTGCTATAAACTTTAATATTATTATCAGAGTGTGTGTATGTATGTGAGTGTGCAAAAAAGCCATCAATACTTCTTGGTCTTGACATGGAGAGGGTTTAGGAAAGACAACAGATAATCTCAACATGATCAAATAAGGTATTAGCAGAATATATAGTTAAGAACATTGATGAAAGACTCAGATAGATGTTAACACTTTTTAGCAATAAACCATTTTCTAGAAAAAGTATGTACTTTTTTCAGAAAAATGCTATTGAACAGTTAATAGACTACATTATAGTATTACCATATTTTTATATGCACCAGGAAACCAAAAAAATTGTGTGACTTGCTTTATCGCAATATTTGCTTTATTATGGTAATTGAAACTGAATCTACAATATCTGAAAGGTATGGCTGTAATTTGTGGAAGATCTATCAGGCAACCATGGAGATTACATTTGGCAGATTGTTGAAAAAATCTACCTTTGGTCCTGAGGACTCTAACCCTGTATTACTTACCTCTGACTTATTATGTTAGATAATTAATTATCTTAATTAAACCTTAATTTGAACTGATACAGAATAACAGACCCTGAAGTGTTGATGTAACCAGTAGAGGAAGCAGGGCAGTGAGGAACCCTCCACTCAAAGCTGGATAAAATTTGTTATGTACTCTCAAATGTTGTAGTAGTTTGTTCTCACACTGCTATAAGGACATACCTGAGACTGGGCAATTTATAAAGGAAAGAGGTTTAGTTGACTCACAGTTCTACATGGCTGGGGAGGCCTCACAGTCATAGCTGAAGGCAAATGATGAGCAAAGTCGTGTCTTACATGGTGGCAGGCAAGATAACTGCGTAGCGGAACTCCCCTTCATAAAACCATCAGATCTTGTGAGACCTACTCACAATCAGGAGAACAGCATGGTAAAGAACCAACCCCAATGATTCAATTACCTCCAACCAAGTACCTCCCATGACAAGTGGGAATTATGGGAGCTACAATTCAAGATGAGATTTGGGTAGGAACACAGCCAAACCATATCATTCTGCCTCTGGCCCCTCTCAAATCTCATGTCATCACATTTTAAAACCAATCATGGCTTCCCAACAATCCCCCAGACTTTTAACTCATTTCAGCATTAACTCAAACATCCACAGTCCAAAGTCTCATCTGAAACAAGGCAAGTACCTTCCATCTAAGAGCATGTAAAATCAAAAGCAAATTAGTTACTTACTTTCTAGATACAATGGAGGTATAGGCATCAGGTAAGTACACCCATTCCAAATGGGAGAAAATGGCCAAAACCAAGGGGTTACAGGCACCATGCAAGTCTGAAATCCAATAGAGCAGTCATTAAATCTTAAAGTCCCAAAATGATCTCTTTTGACTCCATGTCTCACATCCAGGTCACATTGATGCAAGAGGTGGGCTCCCATGCTCTTGGGCAGCTCCTCCCCTGTGGCTTTGTTGGGTACAGCTCCCCTCTTGGCTGCTTTCATGTGTTGGCATTGAATGTCTGCACTTTTCCAGGTGCCCGGTCCAAGACATTGGTGGATCTACCATTCTGGGTTCTGGGGGAGGGTGGCTTTCTTCTTACAGCTCCACTAGGCAGTGTCACAATAATAACTCTGTGTAGGGGCTCCAACCCAACATTTTCCTTCTGCACTGCCCTAGCAGAGATTCTCCATGAGGGCCCGACCCCTGTAGCACACCACTGCCTGGACATCCAGGTAGCAGAAATGTAGTCAGAGGTTCTCAAACCTCAATTCTTGACTTCTGTGCACCCACAGGCCCAACACCATGTGTAAGCTGCCAAGGCTTGGGGCTTGCACCATTTGAAGCAATGGCCTGAGCTCTACATTGGCCCCATTTAGCCATGGCTAGGACAAAGAGCACCAAGTCCCAAGACTGCACAAAGCATCAGGCCATGGGTCTGGCCCATGAAACCATTTTTTCCTCCTAGGCCTCCTGGCTTATGATGGAAGGGGCTGCCAAGAAAATCTCGTACATGCCCTGGGGCATTTTCTCCATTGTCTTGGTGATTAACGTTTGGCTCCTCATTACTTATGCATATTTCTGCAGCAGGCTTAAATTTCTTCTCAGAAAATGAGCATTTTTTTTTCTATTGCATCATTGGGTGGCAAATTTTCCAAACTTCTATGCTCTGCTTCCCCTTTAAACATAAGTTCCAATTCCTAACCATATCTTTGTAAATCATAAAACTGAATGCTTTTAGCTGTACCCAATTCACCTCTTGAACACTTTGTCCTTTGGAATTTCTTCCTCCAGATGCCCTAAATCATCTCTCTTAAGTTAAAAGTTCACAAATCTCTAGGGCAGTTGCAAAATGCCATGAATCTCTCTGCTAAAACATAGCAAGAGTCACCTTTGGTCCAGTTGTCAACAAGTTCCTCATCTCCATCTGAGACCACCTCAACCTGGAATTTATTGTGCATATCACTATCAGCATTTTGGTTAAAGCCATTCAGCAAGTCTCTAGAAAGTCCCACACTTACCCACATCGTCTTTTTCAGACCCCTCCAAACTGTTCCAACCTCTGCCTGTTACCCAGTTCCAAAGTTACTTCCACATTTTGGGGTATCTTTACCACAGCACCCCATTTCACCCATACCAATTTACCATCTTTTCTCATGCTGCTCACAAAGACATACCCGAAACTTGGTAATTTATAAAGAAAAGAGGTTTAATTGACTCACAGTTTCACATGGCTGGGGAGGCCTCACAATCCTGGCTGAAGGTGAAAGAGAAGCAAAGTCACATCTTACATGGTGGCAGGCAAGAGAGCTTGTGTAGGGGAACTCCCCTTTATAAAACCATCAGATCTAGTGAGGCTTATTCACTATCATGGGAACAGCATGGGAAAGATACACCCCCATGATTCGATTACCCACCACCAGGTCCTTCCCCTAAAAGATGGGAATTATGGGAGCTACAATTCAAGATGAGATTTCGGTGGGGACACAGCCAAACCATATCAATTATACATTTAAACTGCCATGTAACTTGGGACCCACAATGTATATTCACAAATGTTTTAATATGAAATGAAATGGTAGGAAAAATCGAGAATATTAACTTGTATAGGCTTTTGGGAAAGTCATACAAGGAGGGAGGAATATGGTTAAAATTCACTAGTAGTTGATCTAAAAATAGAAAAAGTATATCTGGCCTTGAATAATCAGAATTCTCTGAAAACAGTCGTCAATAAACAGACATAGCTGCTGTCTTCTGGGGTGAAAGCACAGCAGGGCCAGTGTGCACAGAGATAGTAAAGGGATTTGAGAGGATGTGGGTAGAACTTGGTAAAATCTACATAATCTTTATTTTTAGAAGATGGTGTGAATGTGTGTATGTGAATGTGTGTGTGCATATGAAAAGATCATAAATACTTCCTTTCTCGAAAATGAAAGGGGTTTATGAAAGACATCAGATCATTCTGACATGATCAAATAAGGCATTACAAATCAGAGATGAAAAAAACATTCTGGATGCACCTGGGAATGATCGCAAAGATGTTCAATGATTATTTGCTGAATAAACTCATGAATGAAGAATAATTAGGCACTTACTTTATCATCCTAGTCAGCTTTAACTCTACTGGAGGCAAGAATACTGCATCCCTCATGGGTGTGATCTGTTGCAATGCACTTTCTGCTGTTAGAATGCTTTGCACATAGTTACAAAATATGCTAAAGCTCTTTTTACCTAAAACCTAACTATGATCATCAAATTCCCCTGTTATAGTCCATTTATTGTTGCTATAATAATGTCTGAAACTAAACAAGTTATCAAGGAAAAATAATTTATTTCTTACAGTTATGGAGGCTGGAAATCACAAGATTGATAAGGCACATTCAGTGAGAGCCTTCTTGCTGGTGGGGTCTCTCTGCAGTTTCCTGAGGCAGTGCAGGGTATCACAAGGCATGGGGCTGAGTATGCTAATGTGCTAGTTCAGCTCTCTCATCCTCTTCTTATTAAACTATCAGTTTCCTTCCCATGGTAACCCATTCATTCATTAACCCTTCATCCATTCATTCATGAATGGATTAATTCATTAAAGAAGGCAGAGCCTTTGTGATTCAAACACTTCTTAAAGGTCCTCCTCACAATACTGCCACATGAGAGACCCAATTTTAACAGGTGTTTTGGAGGGGATATTCAAACCAAGGTATCCTCCTAGATCTTTTTGCCTTAATTGTGATTCAGAAATCTGTAATTATTAAAGTGCCTAAAGACAAAAGGGGAGAACAGAATCAATTATTATCAGTAAAATAGCCTCTTCTGAGCCTGTTTGCATGGACATCCTCTTACTTTTCTATACTCAGCTGAGTGCAAAATGATATCTTGGTGTCACAGGAGGAAGGGAGATAATTAAAAATAAACCACTGTTACCGCCTTCATGCTTCTCATAAATTGTATTGTTTTTATCTTGTCATGATAAACAAGGGTAAATAAACATAGATGACTTTAGCAGTTTTGCATGCAATAAACTCAATGCAGTTTAAAGTTGAGCAGGTAATGTTTTTACAGAAGTTTGATTTATTATATAGAAAATGTATCTTTGCTTTTGTAGAAGCTGCAGCTACCATCAACTAATCAATGTATGTGATTAAGAACAGTTCTGTTTTCTAAAATTATAACAATTTGAAGAATTGGAAATCAATCTAGTAAGGCAATGAAAATGATAAATGAATAAATGAGTATCTGAGTGATTAAAAATAGCATTATACTTTCTCCACAAGACATTTACATAAAGATGTTCATTAAACTATCAAACCAAAATAGAACATTAAATAGAATAAATTAAATTTACATATTAAGGTAAGAAGTAATTTTTGTTTTTTAATAACATTGTAATTTTGTACTCAATATAATATGGTTATAAAATTCTATTTTTTTTTAAGTGTAAGTCTCTGACAGTTTTTGGTTAAAATTTGATATTTCTCCCAATATGTCTTATAAAATTAGTCAGATCTAGAGACTATAGGCTGGTAGTGAAGGCTAATGTCTGTAATCCCAGGGCTTTGAGAGGTCAAGGTGGGAAGATCGCTTGAGCTCAGGAGTTAGAGGCTGCAGTGAGTTATGATCACTATGATCACTTCAGTCTGGGTGACAGACTGAGACTCTGTCTCTTAAAATAAATAAATAAATAAATAAATACATAAATACATAAATAAAAACATGAGTTTCCTAAACAAACAATAATTGATTTCCATTGATTTGATTAGACAGCATATTAGAATATACTATATGGCCATAATAAAATGAACCTACAATGTTATGAGAACAGAAGGGATCATATCTCATAGAGCATCTTGGAACTACACATTGCTTGACTCTGGCTTCATCTCCTGGGTCTGGCTGCAAACTTTTACTGTGGCTTGAAACATCTGTACTTTTTGGTTTTGGTTTCCTTCACTCAGTATTTTCCAAGATCAGCTTTATGTAGCTGGTTCTGTCCATTTCTGGCTGTTTCTAACCACTACTCTGACCTACAAGCCTGGTGTTTCAGAACCTCACCCTGAAGCAACCAGACTCTGATAAGCCAGTGAAGCTGCTCCTAAGGAACTCTCCATAGTTTGGAATGGTACCTGGAACACAAATCCTACATTCTTTATGCCTTGGTGTATTCTTTAGGCGACCTACTGAATGCTCTGGGATCAAATAATCCACTGCAATGGGCTCTCAAGTAATAATCATGAAACGAAAATGGTTAAAGATTCTCTGAAGAATCCAAAGGAAGCCTTCCTCTGAGGATAGAGAAATGCTTTCATAACTAATTCCTACCTCATGCTTCTTCACTTGGAACTACATTGAGGGGAGTCTAAAATATAAAAATAATGATGCAACCTATATGTGTTATTCTAAATTATAGCGATACTGAACTGTAAAATAAATGCTAGGAAAATCAATAAAATTGTAAGCATTCCTGAGAATATACTTATACATATAAAGTATTTATACGTATCTATAATGTCTTTTAATTATTTCTTGAGTATCCCCTTCGCTGGTACTCTATGCTTGTGCTTCATCTATTTCTTGCATAGTTAAATATGGTTTTCACACTTTCCTGAAGCATTATTTATGGCTAACGAACTTCCTTAGGTTAAGGATGAGGTCTCATAATTTCTACAGGTGACACATTTCGATTTTTTTTTTCAGACGGAGTCTCGCTCTGTCCCCCAGGCTGGAGTGCTGTGGTGCGATCTCAGCTCACTGCAAGCTCCACCTCCCGGGCTCATGCCATTCTCCTGCCTCAGCCTCCAGAGTAGCTGGGACTACAGGCGCCCGCCACCACGCCCGGCTAATTTTTTTTGTATTTTTGGTAGAGACGGGGTTTCACCGTGTTAGCCAGGATGGTCTCCTGACCTCGTGATCCGCCCGCCTCGGCCTCCCAAAGTGCTGGGATTACAAGCGTGAGCCACTGCGCCCGGCACACATTTTGATTTCTAATGTAAGATATCTAAACTCAGATATCTAGGGAATTAAGTGTATCCTTCAGACACCAAAATAAGTGCACAAACCTAATTAGCAATTCTCAGTCAAATATGTTACTCATATTCTATGTGAGTGTGAAGAAATGGCATTTACCTATAAGAAAATTCACTAGAATAGCTCCATTATAGTGTTTGGTAATTCCAATAAATTACACTTTAATCATAACCTGTTACACAGTGCCAATTATAACCTAGCAAATTTCCCATCCTTACTTTTCCCATTATACCTGGCTGAGTCTGTTCCTGTGATAATCACATGTAATGTTGTACCATTTCAAAAGCATGCTTTGGAAATTCAGGCCACCGTGCTATTATTGTTTCCACTTTTTAAATGTTTATTTATTTATTTATTTATTTTGAGGCAGGGTCTCACTCTGTTACCCAGGCTGGGGTGCAGTGGCAGGATTATGGCTTACTGCAGCCTCGCTCTCCCAGGCTCAAGCCATCCTCCTGCCTCAGACTCCTGAGTAGCTGGGACTGCAGGCATGCACCACCACTTCCAGCTAATTGTTTTCGTTTTTGTAGAAATAAAGTCTCATCATGTTTTGCTAGACTGATCTGGAACGCCTGGGCTCAAGCAAACCTCTCACCTTGGCTTCCCAATCCTGGGATTACAGACATAAACCATTGCACCTGGCCTATTGTTCCAACTCCTAAGAGTCATCTACCTCTTGCTACCTAAAGAACTCTGGGTAATTTTTCAAAAAGAAGAAGCACTCTACTGTTTCTCTGAATTTATCTAATTTCCAGGAAAATCACTTGCTCCCCCACATTTATTTATACTTATCTATATTTTAATACACGTTACAGTATGTTATGTATTTATTTTCTCTCATTGACAGTGAAGTCCAGGAGGGCAAAGATTTTGCTTTACCAATTTGAATAGCTTTAAAATGAATCACAAGGCCCAACACATTGTTAAATAGAAAATAGGCTTTATCCATTTCTCAAGAAATATTCTCAAGAAACTGTCATTTCAGTTTTTGAAATTATTGTTTGCATTATTGCCTCCACCAATTGAAACAGCAGTTAAGCACAAATATTGACATTCAGAGGCTCTAAAACTAGATTGCCTGAATTTGAAAACTGTTTCCAAATGTACTGTCTATGCCATTCCCAAAAGTTACTTATTATGTCTCTGTCACCATTTCACACCTTTAAATTGAAATAATTAATAATACTCACTAAACAAAATTTAAGTAACTACTTGACAACTTAATTACAGATTTCAACACAATGTTTTGCAAAAATGTAAACCAATAATTAATATTAATTATTTTAGTATTATTTTTCATAGTAGTAGCAAGGTGTTTATCCTGGCAAGTTTTATTATATCATTTAAAACAACCTGTTAAATTTACCTTTTTTTGGTCCAGTAAAATTGCTTGAGAAAAATTTAGTGTTAAAAACATTTGAATTATGTATCAATGTAAACCCTAGTTTCAGCAGAACTAATATCAAATTAAAGTGTGAAATGTAATTTTAATGATGACTGTAATATGCTCTTTGTTAGAAAACATAATCCTTATCTTATTTCATTTTTCTGAAATTTGCTGGTGTTTTATAATAGAAAATGTATATCCTCTTTAAAATGATAGATTTTATTTTATATTCTGCTATGCTTTCTGTGATGGGCTGTCTGTGTAATGCAGTGAATTTACAAATTCATTTTAAATAAAAACCATGGCCTCTAGGTCTTATTTTAACTCATTTCCCTTAGCATTTCATATTTGGTGTAATTTTATGAGGACTGTCAACACTATAATTTTACACTGTTTATTAAAATGAAAATAGCCCTCAAGAGATAAGCCAAGTGAAGTAGAATTTTAAAAGTGATTTTTGTTGCATTAAGAGAAACTAGAGTCAAAATTATATTCATAATCATGTTAAGAAATAACAGGCCCATTTATATGCATAATATAAACATTAAACAGTAAATTTGTTAAAAATAAAATCCAGATTTGCAAAATTTTTAAAAAATAAAATCCAGATGTGCGTGACCTTTAATATGTACATATAATTAACGGGTAAAAGTAGATACTTTCAGACAAACAAAAACTAACAATTAATCTCCAGCAAACCTGCACAAAAAAGTACACTAACAGATAATCTCTTTCATGCAGAAGGAAAATAATGCCAGATGAAATTACCTTAAAATAGGAGTAAAAAGGTGAATTCAAGTGCATATTGAATATATATATTATTGATATTGTTTTATGTGAGACATAAAATGTATCTAGATATAAAATATATGAAAGCACCACCACAAAATGTGGAATATGATAAACAGATTTAAAGTGTTGTAAAGCCATTATTTTATCTAAGAACTAATAATGTCCTAATTCATAGTAGACTCTAAGTCAAGTACGTATGTTATAACCTATAGAATTTCTAGTAAGAAACTAATAAAATAATGTACAATTAGTGAGATAAAGGTAGAAAATTACAATAACTTGGAAGAGTAGAATTCTTAAAATGAAAAGAAAAGAAAAATGAAGCTAAGCCAACAGCTTGGCCAAAAAAAAAAAAAACAAATCGATTAATAGAAAGAATTGCTATAGCTTTCTAGAAATATCGAATATAACATTAAATGCCAATGGAGTAAACAATCCAATTATAAGATTCCAATCACCAAACTAGATTTTAAAAGAAAATAAACTATATGTTGTGTGGCAGACAAACATGTCTCCACTTCCTGGCCTTTTGGTCTTCAAGACTTTGTGTTATTACACACTTTTCCTGGCTACCCTGAGTGTGATCAGGACCTGTGTCTTACTTTTAGAGGTTAGATTATTACAAAGTTGATGAATATAGCACCTGCATTGCATTCAGTTTTATTACAGAAATCCCTTCATTTTAGCACACTCATTCTAGAGATTCTTCTTGCTGGCTTGATGAAGTAAGCAACCATGATACAAAGCCAATGTAGCAAGAAACTGTGGCCAGCTTCAGGGAACTGCAGGTGGCCTCAAGGAGCTGAGTAGCCTACAGGTGACAACCAGGAAGAATCTGGGACTGTCAGACCTTTAATAGCAAAGATATAAATTCTTACCACATATGAATAAGCTTAGAAATATTCTTTCCCAGTTTGATCTCCAGTTAAGAACACAGCAGAACCACAATTTTGACAGCAGCCTAGTGACACCCAAGCAGAGAAATTAGCTAAGCTACATCCAAACTTATGACCCACAGAAAGTGTGATGTAATAAATATAGGTTGTTTTAAGATGCTAAAACAACATTTAATTTGTGATAATTTGTTCGGCATTAATAGAAAATTAATGCATATTACTTAGAAAAAAATTTAAATACATTTAAGTCTTTAATCCATCATGAGTTAATTTGTTTATAAGGTGTAAGGAAGGGATCCAGTTTCAGCTTTCTGCTTATGGCTAGCCAGTTTTCCCACCACCATTTATTAAATAGGGAATCCTTTCCCCATTGTTAGTTTTTGTCAGGTTTGTCAAAGATCAGATGGTTGTAGATGTGTGGTGTTATTTCTGAGGGCTTTGTCCTGTTCCATTGGTCTGCATATCTGTTTTGGTACCTGTATGATGCTGTTTTGGTTACTGTAGCCTAGGCAATACCATTCAGGACATAGGTATGGGTGAAGACTTCCTGACTAAAACACCAAAAGCAATGGCAAGCAAAGCCAAAATTGACAAATGGGATCTAATTAAACTAAAGAGCTTCTGCATAGCAAAAGAAACCATCAGCCAAGTGAACCGGCAACCTACAGCATGGGAGAAAATGTCTGCAATCTGTCCATCTGACAAAGGGATAATATCCAGAATCTACAATGAACATAAACAAATTTACAAGGAATAAAAAAAGCAACCCCATTGAAAAATGGGCAAAGGATATGAACAGACACTTCTAAAAAGAAGACATTTATGCAGTCAACAAACATATGAAAAAAAGCTCATCATCACTGGTCATTAGAGAAATGCAAATCAAGACCACAATGAGATATCATCTCATGCCAGTTAAAATGGCGATCATTAAAAAGTCAAGAAACAACAGATGCTGGAGAGGATGTGGAGAAATAGGAAGGCTTTTACACTCTTGGTGGGAGTGTAAATTAGTTCAATCATTGTGGAAGACAATGTGGCGATTCCTCAACATTCTAGAACTAGAAATACCATTTGACTCAGCAATCCCATTATTGGGTATATACCCAAAGGATTATAAATCATTCTCCTATAAGGACACATGCACACATATGTTTATTGCGGCACTGTTCACAATAGCAAAGACTTGGAACCAACCCAAATGCCCATCAATAATAGATTGGATAAAGAAAATGTGGCACATATACACCATGGAATACTATGCAGCCCTAAAAAGGATGAACTCATGTCCTTTGCAGGGACATGGATGAAGCTGAAAACCATCATTCTCAGCAAACTAACACAAGAACAGAAAACCAAACACTGCATGTTCTCACTTATAAGTGGGAGTTGAACAATGAGAACACATGGACACAGGGTGCCGGGGGCATCACACACTGGGGCCTGTTGTGGGGTTGGGGACTTGGGGGAGGGATAGCATCAGGAGAAATACCTAATGTAGACGACAGGTTGATGGGTGCAACAAACCACCATGGCAAGTGTATACCCATGTAACAAATCTGCACATGTACCTCAGAATTTAAGGTATAATTAAAAAAAAAAAGAAAAGGCAAAAATTTTAAATTCACAGATGCAAGAAGATTGCTAACAAACATGTAGAGAGATATTTATGAAGCAAATAGCAACCCAAAAAGTTACTGTGCCAAGTGAACTTTAACACAGAAGGATAAGAATTGTAAAGGGATATTTCATAATAAAAATAGTCATTCTAAAGAATAATGTAACAGGCTTAAATGTTTGTAATTCATAGCTCAGCCTCGAAATATGTGCAGCAGAAACTAAAAATTAAAAAGAATAGTACACAAATTCATAATTGTACAGAATTATTTTAAAAGAATTCTTTGAGATACAGATACAAAAATCAAAACGTCCACAGAAATATTGAATATTTGGAAAACTAGTGTAAAAACTTAACAAAAGCACATACATAGAACACTGAATGCAAGATTTAAAGTTTGCATATCCTTTTAAATAAATATATGTGGGCTGGGCCAAAATTAACATGCTGAGCACTAATATTATGTGTCAACAAATTTTAAATAATTTAAATCTTACATAAATAATTTAAATCTTATATAAAATTAAAATAAAATTTAATTACACACTCTTCATATTCAAAATCACCAAAACATTTTGATATTAATCCATGTGCTTCTAAGAAAATAAGTAAAATAAGGCATAAAAGTATAAATTAGTAAACAATAATAATAAAACACAGCATATCAAAACTTGTAGCTGCAATTAAACCTGTTATAAGCATAAAATTTATAGTCACAAATTCACCTATTACAAAAAGAAAAATAGGAAACATATTAATCAAGATATCATCTAAAGAAGCTAAAATATAAGAGCAAATTAAGCCTGATAATTTAAAAAGAAAAATAATTCTAAATATTATAAATAATAAAATAGAAAACACACGTAAATTAAGAAATTTTTAAACGGTTTGATCCCTTGATTATATAAATATATGTGTATTTTAGTATGTATATACATCCCAAAAGTGACTATTGAAGGAAAAGCGATCTGAAAACACTAATTATTAATTATAAATTAAAAGGGGGGATTCTACAGACATTAAATTGATAATATTGAGGATATTAACAACCAAATAACATTGGATGAAATTAGCCAAACTTACAAAAATTGAAGTGAAAAGAAATAAAATTTGAATAGAGTCATAAATTTTAAAGACGTTTATAATAAAAAGAGGTTAAAATTAAAAAAAAACTTAAGATCAGACAATTTCAACATAAGATATGTCAAGACCAAGTCAATATTTCTCCAGAAATGAAAAGTTGGCCTAATATTAGAAAGACAGAACACTGTTATACAGTATATTAGCATAATGAAATCCAAAACACAAAAATTTAAAAATCGCATGATCATTATATATTTAAAAAAAAGCCTTTGATATAAAAGCCAACACCTGATTAAAGGTTTACAAAATAAACCTATAATTATATTTATACACACATATATGCATATATACGTATTTAGGCATTTATATGTATTTATAGATATATTCAGAAAGTAAGATGACTATTTCTGGCTGTATTATTTTACACAGAACTATAAATGAGTTTGAGAATACAGGTTTGACTGTAAAAGTCATTCTCTACCTCAATTAGCTGAAAAAAAATAAGATAAAATGCTGATTCAATATCATTCTGCCTTAAGGTAAGTAAAAGTTTTAGAGAACATTTGTAACATATTTCTCTCCTTTCAGAGTTTCTGGCTAATTATTTTTTAAAAGATTTGTCTTCTATTGTACTCTCAGAGAATGAAAGTCACAATCAAAGAACATATTCATGACAGCAAATTTGCACTAAAGTTTCTTGTTCAACTATTTTTAACTCATTTTGTTCTAAATGCATTTTATCAGACTTTCATGTAAGTCACATAAGTAATCTTCAAAGCTAACATTCTTTAAAATGTAGTACAAAAACACGTAAGCCACAACACACTTTCATTATTTCTTATTCCTATATAATTCTTAATCTTGTATATAATCTAGAAGTTTTCTTTAATGTTTAAAGAGCATCTGAGATAGCTATTCTAGAAGACAGTGCTATGTACCTAATTGTGCCAATGCCAAACTCATTAAAAATATTTACTCATTAAATGTATGCCCAGGAAATTATTGAATAAATGGTAGATAGATCCGTTATGAATAAAATAATTTACAAAGGAAATTATATCAGATAATCTTATGTCCTGGGTATGAAATGTTAAAAGCAAGCATCAACTTTATTTAAATAATTCATGTTTTTATTTAAAATATGTTGTGTTTGTTATGTTTTAAGTATTAATACAATGATGATTAAAAATGGTATGGATTATAAAAAATTTGAAAATATAGTGAGAAATAGGATTACTTTATATATTTTATATCTCTACATAATATGTACTATGAATTGAGCTGTGTTCCCCCAAAATTTAAATTTTGAAGCCCTAATCCCCCATGGGATGGTATTCGGAGATGAGGACATTGATTTAGATGAGGTCATGAGTATAGCATCACCATAATTGTATTGGTGCCCTTATAAAAAGAGACCAGACCAGACATCTGGAGTCTTGTCTCGCTCGGCTCACTCACACTCCCACTCTCTCTCTGTTATGAGAGAACACAGCAAGAAAAAGATCAAATGCAAGCCAGGAAGATGGCCCTCCCCCAGAGCTGAATCTGATGGCATCTTATCTTGGACATCCTCACCTCCAGAACTGTGAAAAATATATGTCTGTTGTTAAGCCACTTGGCCTATTTTGTTATAGCAGCCCAAGTTGACTAATACAACACAGCTTAATTTCAGAAATATTTTAACTAAACTACCAATTTCATATTTTAGTAAGTAGCTACAAATATCACCAGAGGAAGTTTGATGCTCTTGTGTGGCTACAACTGTGCCACATACAGCCCATCATTCACAGTAACTTTTTGATTTGCCTTGGAATTACTACTGTGCCAGGTACTTTTACAATATCACATGTAATGAAAATAATCCACTATTCTCAATAAAGAGTTTTGTTCATATGTATTCTGGTTTCCCATAGCAACTTAATAACTAGATTTTATAAAGTGTATCAGCCCTTAGTGAAATTTATAACCTTTTTATGAACCCCGTATTAGGGATTCTCATTATTGACTTTGGTGGCTATATAAAATGAAAAAAAAGAAAGACTATGTTGAAAGACAGGGAAATATCAAATAATTTATTTGCCAAATAATTCATTAATTTAACACATTAATATTGAGTATCTCCTATAGGCCAACTGCTCTACTAGTTCTGCAGATTCAATTGCAAGACAACTAGCCATACATTTAACCTTCATGGAGTTTACTATCTCTTATGGACAGAAGTGGGTACCCTACAAATGCATACGTTAAAATCCTAAACTCTAGTGCTAGAGTATGTGACTATATTTGAAGATAAGGCTTTTAAAGAGGTGATTTAGTTAAAATAAGTCCTTTGGGGTGAATCTTAGTAAAATCTGTCTGGTTTCCTTAAAAGAAGAGAAAATCTGGACACACAAGAAACACCAGAGATGTACCCTCACAACAGAAAGACCATTTCAGAACAAGGTACTGTGAGTCTAAGAGTACGAATATTTTCACTGCATTTGAGGTACAGTGGAGTTAATCACAGCGAGAATTTACGCTGTGGAATAACCTCACAGACTGAATGCGAGTTTTGTATATTAATACTGCTTTAGTCAATCCATCCATTTAGAGTGCATTTAATCTAGATTTTGGAACATTTTACCCCTTCTGGAATTATTTCTTGAAATTTGTACGTCACATATTCTCCACTTAATTGAACTACATATTAATGACTTGGAATATATGATATATGTGTTATTTCTAAATTATATCAACCTAAAGACAATATATAGTTTAGAAATAACACATATATTATAGACTCCAAGGCATTAATATATACTTCAATTAAAAATAAAAATGTATCAGTATAAATCTCACGCCACTAGTGTGTGTCATATTAGCAATATTAATATCAAATATATCAATCTATAAAGAACATCATCTTGTTTCCTGAGAATGAGGAAACGAGAAGCTTACATTATTTTAAATATTTTAAATATATTTAGATATTTCAAATAGTACTGGCTATACACCCAAAGGATTATACATCTTTCTACTATAAAAACACATGCACACGTATGTTTATTGCAGCACTATTCACAATAGCAAAGATCTGGAACCAACCCAAATGCCCATCAATGATAGACCGGATACAGAAAATGTGGCATATATATACCATGGAATACTATGCAGTCACAAAAAAGGATGAACTCATGTCCTTTGCAGAGACATGGATGAAGCTGGAAACCATCATTCTCAGCAAACTAACACAGGAACAGAAAACCAAACACTGCAAGTTCTCACTCATAAGTTGGAGTTGAACAGTGAGAACACATGGACACAGGGAGGGAAACATCACACACCTGGTCCTGTTGGGGGTTGGGGGACTAGGAGAGGGATAACATTAGGAGAAGTACCTAATGTAGGTGACAAGTTGATGGGTGCAGCTGCAGCAAACCACCTTGGCATGTGTGTACCTACATAAAAAACCTCCACGTTCTGCACATGTATCCTAGAACTTAAAGTATAATAAATATATATACACACTAATTATGGAAGTGTTACTATCAAAAGTAATGAATATGTAGAAGGGATATGTATAGCTATCCTAACAAAGGCCCTTCCATGCCAAGCTCACAGTTTGCTTTTTATGAGGTCACCCTGGGAAGTCCTTGAAGAGCCTAGTAAAAAAATGGCAGGATCATATTTTTATCTGAAAAGTCTAAGCTGGAAGAATTGTGAAGAAGAGCTCAGAGTAGGATTTCACCAGATATAATTCCATATAACAATGGTTTAGTGGGATTATATGTAATGTTAAAAAAGGAGGAAAAGATTTCTGTTATCAAGGAAAATAAGAAAAATAACTTTAAATGCTTAAAAATTATAACTAAATTTGATGGAACATTGATTATGCTGAAGATGTTGTGCTATGCATTTTATTTGAGTCATCATACTTATTTCCAAAAATAATACTTATGGTTTCTTGAGGCAAGCACAGCTAGGAACTGTATTAAATTGATTACAGTAACGTTCCAAATCTGATTGTTTTTTCTATCTGTAACTAAGCTGCTTGGTGGCATCTTTCCACATTAACTCTGGGCTTGCTGAACTATATAACTTAATTTGGCTAAAGATACAGTAGCAAAGTTATGCAAACCTACAAGATGTGAGAATAGCTTGCACATTGGGTCATATCTTTTGCTGCTTTTAGAACTATGCTGTCTGCTGCCTTCTGACCAAGCCCAGATTAGCCTTCTGGGTGATGAGATACATAGCCCAGTCACTACCCTACTCCTTGCCACCGAGTTGGGGTAGTGATTGGGTCATACTGCCAAACCATTCAGACCCCAGAAGACATGAGACAGTCTGAATTCAGTAGAGCTGAATATATGTCAACAGAATCACTCAGTTGACCCACAGGCATGTGAACAATAAATGATTGTTGTTTAAACTGCAAGTAGCTGGATTCATTTAGTAGTGAAAGTTGATATGTTCATATGTATCTATTCTCTCCTTCTACCTTACTAAAATAACCAGAATTATGGTGTAAAATGTTTATATTACTTGCACAGTAAAAAAAACTATTCCCATTGATTCTTTGCAGTTGAGTGTTAACTATGTGTCCCAGTTCTGTCTGGTGAGAAGTAAGCAGAGTTTGTTCAGTGAGGAATCCAGCAAGGTTATTGTTTTCCTGATGTAAAGGGATATGTGTATCTACCCTTTACTCTCTCTGACTTCTTTTTGTTTGGAATATAAATGTGATGACAGGAGATGCACCAAGATTTCATAAAATCTGAGAGGCCACACATTTTGTATAGAAGAGTGGAGAACTAAAAGAAGCTTGTGTTTGTGATAACCCAGCTACATCCAATCTCAAAGTGCCTACTTTTAGTATGTAACCTTTTACATGACAAAATTAACTCACCTCTGCCTTTACCCATTCTTAGTTCCTAAAAATGTTTTCAGCTCAATGCATTAATTGCTAGCCGATATATACGTACTATTATTCACCACCAATATAAGATTAGAAAGTGAGATTTAAGAAAGTTAACTAACATTCCCATAATATTTATCTATTAGTGGATTATCTTTTCAACTCCAAAATATGTATTAAGCACATATTATGTGCTGATATTGTTTTATGTACTGGGAAGTGCTAAAATTTAAATGAAGGCAGTCTGACTAGATAGCACATCTTCTGTAGTACAATTCTATATAGGTTCTTCACTGTAGCTCATCTCAGATTCTCTGAAAAATTCAATTGGAAAATGCTTGTTTAGAGGTCTGTAAAACAATGAAGAGGGAAACCAGTCAGTGTACTATTGCCTTGTTTTAGGTGGTAGGGAGTCAGTGGCCACATTAACGGGGGTGGAATCAGGGGCTGGGGAAAGTAAAGACAAACGTTTAAGAGGATGGAATTCATTATACAGTTTACATGAAAGGGTTGGAAAGACTGGACTTCTGTGCTGCTGTTATTTGAGAATGTAAACCAAATGAGGTTATTGGGGAAACTGCTATGTGCTCTGTTGGGATATGTTAACTTTGAGTTGCTTATACTAACCTTCAAGTAGTAAATGTGTCTTAAAAGGGGCTGGATAGAAGAAGAATGTAAAAATTATTTAACTCGAGCACGGATCACTTAGAATGGAAACTGATCAGCATACTCTACAGGTGAGTAACAACTTTATATCAGTGCAGCATATACAGGATTGATGTCAGAAAACCATGTCAAACTTAAAACAAATAGTTTACAAATAGGTGAAGAAAGGAAGAAAAGGAGAGAAGAAACAAATGAACTAATGAATGAATAAAAGAATGAAGAAAGAAGATAGAGAGACAAGAAATGAAGAAAGGAGAAGGGAAGGAATAAAAAATTAAAAATAAGCAAAATTATTTAAGATCATTTAAGTTAGATATTTTCTCTTAGATGCAGACAAATTAAAATAATATCTGCAGGAAACACAGAAAGCAAACTAATGTTCATTCAATAAATATAAATTGGCTCCTACCTTATGCAGGCATTTCTCTAGGGGCAATGAGTAGAACAATGAGTAAGATAATTGAGGACATTGTTTAAGGTGTATTTGTTTCCATTCAAGTATGCGACATGTAATAATTTCAGTTTGAAGCTATTGAAAATTATCCTTCAATTTGTTGGCTAGCTCCTAAAACTCCACATAATTGCATTGTGAGAAACTCCACTTAAGTGGCAAGTCTCAGAATTGGTGTGTATGTGTTTGTGTGTGTGTGATTTATTCCCCATCTTCTGTAAGCTCTGTGTCTTACAAAAACATATAACGTAACTATTATTTTCCAACATATAGAAAATGTCAGCATGATTTGGTCAATACAGTTTACCAGGTTTATGTGCTGTGAAAACTGCAAGATAGACAAGTTCCTTGGAGCATATACTGTATGAAAAAAAAAACAGAGAGCAGATATATATCTGAAACAGATGGAAATATCTCTTAAGAAAGACAGTAAACTTCTGCCATTTATTTTTATTTTTAATATGAGTAGAGTGAAAAATTAGTAGCAGTCACTAGGAGAACTGAGTAACTATAATAAGGAACTGAGAAGTAGCTCCACCTTTGTTTCATTAGGATAAGCTAACAAAACAACCTTAAAATCCTAGTAAATTTGTATAACAAAGATTAATTTCTTGCTTACACATAGTGTGATACAGATAACTCTGGACTGGTGGATTGGTGGATTTCTTGGGTGGCTATATTCTAATTGACATACTCAGGAAAGCGGAGTTTTTCCATCATGTGGCACAACTATTTTGGAATGTGTCACTTCCACCCATGCTGAGACATGCACTTTCAGGATAGGAAAGTGTGTAAACTATTATAATTATGGTTTTTCATCAATCCTAGTAATATTATGTTTCATTTCTGCCCACAATTGTCCAGAACTCACCCACCTCGTCCTATCTGAATGCAGGGGAGTGGGGCAAAGTGATATACCTATGTGCTCAGGAGGAAAGTAAAATAATTTGATGAAATATGTTATTTTTATTTAATTATATATATAGTAAACATGTAATTTCCCCAAAACTATCAAACTTTTCCTTGAAATCTACTGCAATGTTAAAAAGAGGCATGAGAGAAGTCAACCTTTCAAGTCATTGATGATTGAATATCTTGGGAATTCTTTTGGAAATGAGATATGGCTTTTGGTCGACTATTTTTGAAATAATAACTTTAATAATTTCCATTTGACCCTTACTGGAAATATAAATTTCATCCACACATCAGTAGCTATGTTTAAATGTTTGCAGATGATAGTATACCAATTATAACTCTGAATTTAAGATCTGAAAAATGACCACCAGAAAGATTTGAGTTCACCTGTGCCTGCCATGTAGCACTCATGTAAACTCAATTTGTCTCTTGACACTCTTGATTTCCACTGACACCAGCAGACCAGTGTTGTTTTAGATCCTGAAAGATTAAGGATTATAACTAGATAAGATCCAATGTCTAATAATTTTCAACAATTCTGTATTTTTTTTTTGTTTCTTCAAAGCTAGATTGTGAGAAAAATAAATGCAAGATCATTGGTCCCTTTAGGGAAACAGTTAAGAAAGGATCACAGTATGTCACAATATGGACCTCAGGTTTTTTCGAACAGTTCTACTTATTTCAGTAGTTGATAATAAGACTCACACATTAACTGAAAAAAAGGAACATGGTGACTCTGTAATATATCAGACATACTAGGTTGTATAAGAAAATATTATACAATAACAAATAATAACAGAATTAAGGTAGTTATTAATTTTATATATATATCAAATAATTCCTTAGGGGTGGCCTAAAAATTTCTTTCCTATGGACCTATAACTAATTATATCCTCTCAGACATTTCTTTGGAGATGATTGGATTACTGTGCCTGTCCTTATACCCATCATGTTACTCATATCAACTTTGTTCTTTTTAAAAACTTTACTATGGTTCTTATACTTGGATTCTATGTTTGCAATCCACACAGACATACTAAAATTGGAGAGCCCATTTCAATTGGAACTGTTTAGTTCATTATTCATAGGTGCATTTTTGGTAATCTGTGTGTCTTTTTTTTCTTTCTTTTTCTTTTTTTTTTTTTTTTTTTTTTTTTTCTTTGAGACAGAGTCTTGCTCTGTCGCCCAGGCTGGCGCGATCTCGGCTCGCTGCCAGCTCCACCTCCCGGGTTCATGCCATTCTCCTGCATCAGCCTCCCGGGTAGCTGGGACTACAGGCACCCGCCACCACGCCCGGCTAATTTTTTGTATTTTTAGTAGAGACGGGGTTTCACCATGTTATCCAGGATGGTCTTGATCTCCTGACCTCGTGATCCGCCCGCCTCGGCCTCCCAAAGTGCTGGGATTACAGGTGTGAGCCACCGTGCCTGGCGGGTAATCTGTGTGTTTTGTTTTTTTTTTTTTTTGGCAAATATCTTCCTTATTTAAAGTGTTGGTGAAGAAAGCAAATTCTAGTATCTTTCAGAGAATATAATAAGGTAAGAGTTTTTGATGTATTTGTTAAACTAACTAAGCACTTCAGAATCTTTCTGAATTTAATGTATTTGAATCCTAACATCTTAAAAGGGCATGTGATATCTCTGTCCATCCAATGGCATTTAGGCACCAAGTCTGCATACAGATTTACACTAGAAATCTGACTCAACTAAGGAAACACAAGATTTCTAATAATAATATCTACAGGGGCAAGTTAAGTCTGATATAACATTGTTTTTGCTTCTTTACTCAATAGTCTCAAAATTCATTACTAAGAACAGTCCTTAAGATGTTAATGCACTGCTTCTGCTACATTTAATGAGTAAAAACTCTATGTCTCTCTATTTTACATCTACATTTTACCTCAGTTCATGACGAATTTATATTTTGTTCACTTTGGAATTTGGTGATGTAAGGTTTTATTATATCTAAAAACTTGAGACATATAGTTGATTCCTTACATAATGGCCATTTCCAATCATTATTGCTGAAGAATAATGCAAAAACAAGCATATAGTTACCTCACAGCTTAAGTATAAAGCATGAGGGTGCTTCACTATTCAATATGAGAGATTGTCAAAGACTCCAGTAGAAGATTTACTAAGCAGTGGTATTCTAGGAGAAACTGAATAGTTTCCCATCATCTCCACACACTCTGTTGTCTATATAAAAGCAACTAGGGAAAGAGCACACTGTCTTTTCAGGAAATAAGAATCTGTTTCTCCCCTCATCCGTCTGAACTCCTCCACTCCCTAAGTTATACTTTATTTTGTGTCTAGTATCTGATTATTAGTGTCACATCAATAGGAGGGGCCATATAGAGAAAAGCAGAACATATTTGGATGGCAAAAACAATATATTTTAAATTGGATATAGTAAATTAACATGAGTTTATGTGGATTCAGAAGAATTTGTGAGAAGTAGCCAGTCCTCAAATTGCCATTTTCAGTTCTCAAAAGGGCCATCTGCTAGAGGGGGAAAGCACTGCAGCTAGAGTTTGTAATGAGAGGCAGATCACATTCTAGAGAAGCCATGGAGGGCACAGCCTCAGCTTGCCTGGATTCCTCACACTAGGTATTGGCATGGACAAGGAGTCCTTGAACAGTTCCTTCAAAACCAGCAAATGCACTCCATCAGTATCACCAGCATTTGGATGTGAGTAGCACAGGTCATACTGAGAAGCCAACAACGTTAAGGAGAGATCCAACTTTTATCAAAAGATGAGAAGATACAAAAAGATATTTTTCGTCGTCCCCACAAGCTACTAGTGGAGCAGAATCAACAAGATAGGACATTAACCCAAGAGAGAGAAATCACAGGAGACTGTTAAAATGATAACCTCTGCCTTCTGCTAGTGGTCCACTGATTTAGTTAATAAAAATAAAAGAAAGACTGCTGGCACAAGGAGCTACCAAGATGCTACAGAATGGCAACTTTACATTTTTCTCCCCCACACTCCCAGGCCAGCCCAATGAATTTTTCAGAGGCTACTCCAAAGGCAAAGTTTAATAAGAATTATTTGGAAATGAACTCAGGGCTGAGTTAAGGCAGTTCAATCAAATCTGTAATGTCAATTTACAAGTGTAATTTTTGAATCTGCACATATGTCCCAATCCTGATTATTTGGATTTCTTTAACTATCATGTCAGAAAACTAGGAGGGGTTTGAATTCAACTGATGTTCTAATTAATTACACAAGAAATGTAACACTGACTTTTGTTTCTCCAGTGATTTCAATCCAGTGCCTAGAAGTATGATTTTTTTTTGTATAACAATTCTAACATTTTATGACTGGTGGTGAGAAATTAAGGATTTGAGTATGCTGTTCTCTTGTTTTATTTAAGCTAGTATGCAGCCGTCTTTTTCCCTTCATCATTAGATAATTCCTCATCCTCTTCAAATTATTCTATACATTTGGCTACCCAATCATTCAGGACACTTTCCTAAAGTAGGCATAGGGTTTTATGTGACCACAAGTGATAGTGAATTAGATACTATGAGGTGTTACTTTTACATCACAGAAAATCAATGAGATTTCCCCTGCAATTTGCCCCTTGTCAGCTCAATAACAAATTAAAAGTTATTGCCATCAAACTTTAGGCTTACTCGACTCTATATCTTTTGCTATATAATGGTTGCTGAAAATACCAATTGAATTTGGTTAACATAAATACAATAAAATACATTTAATAAATCTATTGGGAAGCTGACCAATTAAAGGAAAAACTGAAGAATTGTGTCTCAGAAAGAATAAGAACTGGTAAAGTTACTAGGCATCGACCCTCTCTTCACTGTGTTCTTCTATTAAAAATCAAATTTCCACAACAGATTGCCATAGACTGAAGAAGGAGGAGAACATTAAATGACTCAAGTTAAAACTATAAGCAATGGAATAAGACTATTTAACAAAGAAAAATCATTATATCCTAAGAGAAAAAATGGATAGGCAGGCAAAAGCAACCAATGTCACTATTTTGCACAACACTTTAAAAATTTAAAAGTGAGTTAAATGAATTAATAAAAATTTACATAATATAATTAGAGAAGTAAATCAGCAATAAGAATTAAATAAAATTGAGAAGTCACATTAAAGAAAAATCATTCATTGAAAAGCTTTAGAAATTACTCAAAATTCAGGAGACATGTCAGCATTAAGTTGACTAGCTTAGTATAAACAATAACAACATATATAATGCAGAATCCATCAACAATAAATTCTTCAGCATGCAAGTAACAAACTATAAACTTAGCACGATTGCCTATTGTTGTTACTTTCTACTTATAAATGGAAAAAGCACCCCATCCATAATAAAACTAATCACTCCATCTGTGTTATGGATTCAAATTTTACTGATTTTTTTAAGGATCACATTCTATCTATGAATATCTCTTTTTTGGTAAAGTATGTTTAAACGTTTTGTATGAATGGCATCAATCTCATCAAAATTTAAATATAATCAATTAAACCTTACAATCAAATGTTAAGATTAAAGTCATTCCAAAGGAATATTAATATAGATTCATAAAGTAGAAAACATGTTTTAGAATTCACCGTAAGTATAAACATGTGTATATCTGTTTGTGCGAGTTTATGAGATCTGTAAAATTGCAACTTAGTGAGAAAATTAGAGTATATTAAAATAAAGGTAATGATACAACCAATTAGTCATATGAAATATTAGCCTAAAACAAAAATTAATTTAAGGTAAAATAATTATTATAAAGTTAAAATATAAAAATGGGAGGTTAAGGACCTCTTCAAGGAGAACTGTTAAACTACTGCTCAAAGAAATAAAAGAAGACACAAACAAATGGAGAAATATCCTGTGCTCATGGATAGGAAAAATCAATATTGTAAAAATGGCCATAATGCCCAAAGTAATTTAGAGATTCAATGCTATTCCCATTAAACTACCATTGAAATTCTTCATAGAATCAGGAAAACTACTTTAAAATGTTTGCAGAACCAAAAAATAGCCCAAATAGCTAAGGAAATCCTAAGCAAAAAGAACATAGGTAGAGGTATCACACTGAAATGGGAAAAGTTCCCTTATCCCCCTCACAGAGTGTGCCATGTGGCTGTGGCTCACTTCTTAGGTGTCCTGCAGCTCAAACCCCTAAGGGTAGCATGCAGACAGGCAGGTTGTGGGGAATGTGGGCTCCTACCCCACAGCAATGTCTAGGGTTGAGTGTTTACAGCTCCTGAAGCCCCAGTGGGTGTATGTACCAATGTGTGCTTTCAGTTCAGCTGTCCACAGGTGGCTTGGGTTAATTAGCTCAATTAGATCCTCTCCTAATCCCAAGGGCAGAGGGTTTTCTGTATCCCAGAGTTCTTGCCTTAGTGTACCAGAATAATCAAATCACACATGGGCTTAGTGAATGAGTGCAAGGTATTATTGTGTGGTAGAAGTAGCTCTCAGCAGATGGATGGTAGCCAGAAGGGACATGGAGTAGAAAGGTGGTCTTCTCCTGGAGCTGGGCCGCTCAGTGGCCAGGCTCTCCTCCAACCACTGCCGGCCAAATTCCATCTAGTCTACATCATTCTGCTGTCAATAGCCTGCTAGAGTCTGTTGGTGTATTCTTCTGCCAGTGTATTTCACTCAATGTTCAGCGGATTGTGTGTGTGCCTCCTAGGGTCTCAGGGTATTGACAGGCACAGAACGAAGGGCGTGGTAGGCCAGGATGGTCTTGAAAGATGCAACATTTGGGCACGAAACCAGAAATGCCTGTCCTCACCTATGTCCATGGGCATAGGCCCAAGGGTAGAGCCCTAGCCAGTGACCCCACCCTTCTCTACCCAGCACTTCCCTGCCTCCCTCCTACATCATTTCTCCCTTCTGAAGAGATACATCTAACTGCTGTTACAATATGGACAATGACCAGTCTTAGCTACTTCCTGCTGACAGGAGACATTTTTTGGGGGAAAACGGTAGTCAGATCCCTCCCAGAGGTCTACCTAAGGGTTTCTGGCAAAGGGGAGCCATTATCTGAGGCTCCAGTTGCCTGACCATTTGGAGTTTGATGGCTTCTAGGCGTGAGATAAAAAACAAACAAAGTTTTATAAGATTTAGTATGTATGGGTTAAACATGTATATTATACAAGGAAAGAATCTATGCTGAAGATTGTAGATATAAGAATTGGAATATACTACCATCGTTGTGCTCTGAGCTATTTCACCCTGGTGAAAGAAATTAAACCTTGAATGGAAGCAGTTACACTTTAGAAGAGAGATAACTATTCTCGTCATATCCTTAGCATTTGCCAGGTGTACCCTGGGAACTCTGGGGCTACTGGGCTTGCATGGTGGCCATTAAAGCTTCTAACTCTTTCCTGTATTTCCTCTCTCTTTCCTGGGCCTCCTTGTGTCTATTATAAAAGTCCAAGGTGGCTACTTCCAGCAGGTCGTCTAAAGTACTATCTAGCCCCAGTGCCTGTTTTTGTAGCTTTCTCCTAATATCAGGAGCTGCCTGATTAATACATTTATTCTTTAGGATTAGCTGTCCCTTGACTGAATCAAGAGATAGAGAGGTATGCTTTTCCAGGGCCTCTGTTAGCCTTTCCAAGAAAGCAGTGGGATTTTAATCAAATCACTGGTTGATCGTGAATAACTGAGTGTAATTGAGGGGCTTGGTTCTATTCCTATGTAAGCCTCACATTATGCACACCTGAAAGTGTCTCCTCTTCCAGTCTTCCAACTCGTCATTGAGATTCCATTTAGGGTCATTCACCAGTACTTCTTCTCTTCCAGTTGGATAATATTCACTCCCTTCCCTGACACTATACGAGATACAAAGGTCATCCCCATAATTCTCTGCTTCTTGCAGAGTGGCATGTTTCTCAGTGTCTGTCAGGGTCTGATTCAAAAGTAACACAACATCTCTCCAGGAGAGTTCAAATATTTAGATAAAATTCTGGAAAGCCTCTATATATCTGTCAAGGTCATCTGAAAACTTGCCAAGATCCCCCTTAATTTGTTTTACGTCCTGTAGGGAGAAGGGGAGTAGGACCTTACTGGGGCCAAATTCACCAAGCATCTGTTGGTGAGAGACTGAGGCTTGTTTAGGGCAAGGATTTCTAGGAGGGGGCATGTGAGAGGCTGAAGTTAGTCAAGAAGGTCAAGGTGGACCTGGAACTGGCTCCACTGCCAGGGTTGCCTCTGGGACTTGTCAGTTTAGTTCCCTGGGGTTGCCCCTTGCAGCCTTACCTGCGATGGCAAACAGTAGGGCTGGATCAATCCTACGTTGCTGGCAAGGGTCTGGATTGCCTTACAAGGTATGGAAAGCCTGCACATATGGGACTTCAGGCCATCTGTCCTCATGTCTACAGAAAAGTTGCAACAGCTTTATGGTATCAAAATGAATGTGTCCTTCTTGGGGCCAATAAAATCCTTCATAATTTGACTAAACCTTTGTGCAGAAGGCTATGAGGCATTTTTCCTCCAGATTCTGAGGGTCAAAGCAGTCCCAATGGTTCAGAATATACTCCAGAGGAACACAAGCTGGGAGTGGTCAAGAGAGCTGGTTGCCCATTCTGAAAAACAGAGAATAGTGCATCCCTCATTTTCTTCCTTGTTTCAGTGAAAACTCAGGGTGTGATGGGGAGAGAACATGAGCATCTTTCCTTTCCCTTTCATCTTTTAGCCCTGAGTCCTGGCAACCTTGGCAGGTGCTGGACATAGGTACCAATGCAGGATGCACCCATGAAACAGGGGAAACCTAGAAAATAGGAATTAACTACCCTAACCTATGCCTACTTTTTTCTCTGATATCAACAACCTTTGAGTTCCCTAGGCCAGTTTATGCCATGGGGCATGGATTCATTTCATGGGGTGGGGATTTAGTTGGCAGTATTTGTCCTGCCCATTTACATTGAGCCTGCTGCCTGGCTTTGGATCCCTCAGACCCGGATTTTCTTTCTCGGGGCCTCAGAATGAAGCTTGAAATCAAGTTTGGGACTGAAAATATATTTCAGAGGCTGTTTATATTTTTTAGAGTGTCTCAAATGGCCCCTGCCCAATTTGTAGTTATCAGCTAGCAGGGGCCATTCCTCCATCAACTTCCCTATTAGAGAGTGTTTAGATCACAGAGTGATCTAAACTTGTCTTCATGTTTTATTTTATTAGCTCAACCATTGTGAAGACAGTGTGGCGATTCCTCAAGGATCTAGAACCAGAAATATCATTTGACCCAGCAATCCCATTACTGGGTATATACCCAAAGAATTATAAATCATTCTACTATAAAGACATATGCGCACGCATGTTTATTGCAGCACTATACACAATAACAAAGACTTGGAACCAACCCGGATGTTCATCAATGATAGACTGGATAAAGAAAATGTGGCACATATACACCATGGGATAATATGCAGTCATAAAAAAAGAATGAGTTCATGTCCTTTGCAGGGACATGGATGAAGCTGGAAACCATCATTCTCAGCAAACTAACACAAGAACAGAAAACCAAACACCACATGTTCTCACTCATAAGGGGGAGTTGAACAATGAGAACACATGGACACAGGGAGGGAAACATCATACATTGGGGCCTGTCAGGGGGTGACGGGCTAGGGGAGGGATAGCATTAGGATAAATATTTAATGTAGATGATGGGTTGATGGGTGCAGCAAACAACCATGGCACGTGTATACCTATATAACAAGCCTGCACTTCCCACACATGTATCCCAGAATTTAAAGTACAATTTAAAAAAAAAAAGAAAGAAAGAAAAAAAAGGAAATGGAGTACTGGGGAGGGGGTGCCCTCTCCCTTGGAAAAGGAAAACAGAGAAAAAAAGTTTAAGGTGCTAAAGCAGAAGGAGATCCTGGGGGAAGAACTTCTTGCTCATTGCAAGTGGGTCCCTTTAATCCTGTATCTTTTCCCCGGTTCAGACCAGGTTGAATTCCTTGGCCAGGGGAAAAACATTCCAGTGGCACAGCAGGTGAGAAGTGCCCACCCATAGGCCTGTTGGGGTCCTGGTTTTATCCCACTCCAACTCGTAGTTGTTGGGCTCAGCTTTTGTTTGCTGTGGACATTCCCAGGCACCCCAGCTGGGAGTAGAAATGGTAAGGGGAGGTGCCCTGAGCCCTGTGTGCCTGTGATTGGCAGAGGGTGGAGGCCGAGATGGTGCCTCTAAAACAGTTGGTCTGATTTCCACCTTTGGGCTGAGCCAAATGCTCGTTTTACTTAGTAACATTGCCACAGCCAGTAGAAAAACTCTTAACAATATAAAAGAAAAGATGAGAGACATTTCAAAACATGAGAGAGAAAGAAAAATTTAAATAAATAGGTCTGGGGGTTTTATCTGCCTCAGTTAGGGTGGTTTAAACTCTGAAGAGAAACAGTGCCTTTAACCTGTGGGAAAAACAGAGAGGTTGCAGGGTTTTGGAAAAGAAGATGATCCAACAACCCTAGCCACAGACCCCACACTTCTCTACCCAGCACTTCCCTGCCCCCTTCCTGTATCAGCACAACCTGACTTCAAATTATACTGTAAGGTTACAGTAACCAAAATAGCATGTACTGGTATAAAAACATATGTATAGACCAATGAAACAGAATAAATAACTCAGAAATAAATGGCAACCCTGACAAAAACAAACAATTAAGAAAGAATTCCATAATAAAGACTACTGGGAGATCTGGCTAGCCATATGCAGAAAATTGAAACTGAACTCCTTCCTTACACCATATACAAAAAGTAAATATAAAATCCAAAACTATAAAAACTATAGAAGAAAATCTAAGCAATACCTTTTAGAACATAGGCACAGGCAAAGCTTTCATGATGAAATTGCCAAAAGCAATTACAACAAAAGCAAAAATTGACAATTGGAATTTAATTAAACTAAAGAGCTTCTGAACAGCAAAATAAACTATCATCAGAGTGAACAGACAACCTACAGAATGGGAAAAACCTACAAAGAGCTTAAACAAATTTACTATAAAAATTAACATTAAAAGGTAGGCAAAGGAAGTGAACAGGCAATTCTAAAAAAAACATACATACTGCAAACACATATGTAGAAAAAGTCTCAACATCACTGCTAATTAGAGAAATGAAAAAACAAAAAATCAAAATGAGATATCATCTCACACCAGTCAGAATCGTGATTATTTAAAAAGTCCAGAAACAACAGTTGCTGGCAAGGTTGCAGAGAAAAAGGAATACTTTTATACTGTTGGTGGAAGAGTAAATTAGGTCAACCATTTTGGAAGACAATGTAGTAATTTCTCAAAGACCTGGAGGCAGAAATACCATTTGACTCAGCAATCCCATTACTAGGTATATACTCAAAGGAATATAAATCATTCTATTACAAAGATACATGCTTGCATATGTTCTTTGTAGCACTATTTACAGGAGCAAAGATGTGGAATCAACTTAAATGCCTATTAATGATAGACTTGATAAAGAAATCTAAACCATGAAATAATATGCAGCCATAAAAAGGAACCAGGTTATGTCCTTTGCAGGGACATGTTTGGAGCTGGAAGCCATTATCCTCAACAAACTAATACAGGAACAGAAAACTAAACACAGCATGTTCTCACATATAAGTGGGAGCTGAAGAATGAGAATACATTGACACATGGAGGGGAACAACAAACACTGGGGCCTATCAGATCAGGAAGGGAGCATGAGGAAGAGTAGCTAACAAATGCTGGGCTTAATACCTAGGTGATGGGATAGTCTGTGCAGCAAACCATGGCACACATTTACCTATGTGACAGCCTGCACAGCCTGCACATGTACACCTAAACTTAAAGTAAAAGTTGAAAAAAAAAAGAAAATGGCAAACAACAAAATATATAAATGAATATGTGAATAAATAAATAAGACTATACCAAAAACTGAAAAAAGAGAAAGCTTAATACACAGCATTGGGGTAAGGCTGTCTAAATAAATGCAAAAGGATGAAGCCCTAAGGAAAATATTAATTAAAGTGTCTCAATACATTTTAAATAATTCATGTAGAAAAGCATGAAGAAAAGTGACAATTGAAAATACTCGCTCAAGGATGATAAAATGTGTCTGTTGTTATGGGATCATTTTCAATGTGTATCTCAAATTCTGCCATAGTCCAGATCCTCTGAGCAAAGGCAATTATAATGAAGAGTGGTTGTACAGGGAAACATTGTACAGGGAAATATTCCAGGATAGTACTGATTTAGACATTATCTTGCTCCCTAATCCAGCCTCAATTTTCTCTATGTATTGTTTGCAAAGGGCATTTGTTGGCTTTAAAAAAAAAAATGAAATGACGCCAAAGAATTGGGGAAGACAAGATATAACTTGTTTTTTGTGTGTGTGTGTGTTTTTTTTTTTTTTGAGACAGAGTCTCACTCTGTTGCCCAGGCTGGAGTGCAGTAGTGCAATCTCAGCTCACTGCAAGCTCTGCCTCCCAGGTTCACCCCATTCTCCTGCCTCAGCCTCCCGAGCAGCTGGGACTACAGGTGCCTGCCACCACGCCCGGCTAATTTTTTGTATTTTTAGTAGAGACCGGGTTTCACTGTATTAGCCAGGATGGTCTTGATCTCCTGACCTCGTGATCCACCCGCCTCAGCCTCCCAAAGTGCTGGTATTACAGGCATGAGCCACTGCACCCCACCAAGATATAAGTTTTTAATAGATGTTGTATGGTGTGAGGAAGCAAGTTTGCCCACACTTAAAGAGACTTCCTTCCATACTGAGTTTACAAGCCATAAATTTACAATGGTCACAATCTTTTGGGCTATGTAATTTTACATAGAGCTTCTCAGAAGTTATATATAACAGTAAAAAAAAGCATTGATTCAAAATTAAGAATAATTATATACAAGTATCCGAAGGAAAAATATTTGTAATGGAAAAGGTGATGATAAGATAGAGATATATGTTGTTCCCTGGTTGAATAAAAAATAATGTGAAATAAAGAAGACCAAAGGACAGTGTGGAGTTCCTAGATGCCAGTAATTGTGGGTTCAAAAAGAGGAAGAATAAGATAGTATAACTTTCAAAATAGAATTCTGGATAACAATAGAACCCTAGTTATTTGAATGAGTGAATAGAAAAGGAAATAATGTTGATCCAGACTCTAGACTCACCACACTTATAAAAATAAGCAGTATTTAGCTGAGTATTTCACAAGGGAGAAAGTATTCACAAGGAGAGTTTGTATAAGAAGCACCAAGTTTAACATAAGAAACATCAGGACATGGTGGAGCAGAATACTTAATCAAAGGAATGCTTATGTAGGAGTGTTTACGACGAAGGATTTCAGCGGGTAATATGGTTTGGCTGTGTCCCTAGCCAAATACCATCATGAATTCCCATGTGTTTTGGGAGGGATCCATTAGGAAGTAATTGAATCATGGAGGCAGGTCTTTCCCATGCTGTTCTTGTGATAGTGAATGAATAAGTCTCATGAAATCTGATGGTTTTAAGAAGGGAAGTTTGCTTGAATAAGCTCTCTTTTTTGCCAGCAGCCATCCATGTAAGACATGACTTGCCACTCTTTGCTTTCTGCCATAATTGCAAGGTCTCCCCAGCCACATGGAACCATCAGCCCAATTAAACATCTTTCTTCTGTAAATTTCCCATTCTTGGGTATGTCTTCATAAGCAGCATGAAAACAGACTAATACAGTGAATTGGTACCAGTAAAGTGGGGTATTACTGAAAAGATACCCAAAAATGTGAAAGTGACTTTGGAACTGGGTAACAGGAAGATGTTGGAACAATTTGGAGAACTCAGAAGAAGACAGGAAAATGTGGGAAAGTTTGGATCTTTTTAGAGACTTGTTGAATGGCATTAGCCAAAATACTGATAATAATATGAACAATAAAATCCAGCTGAGGTAGTCTTGGATGGAGATGAGGAACTTCTTGGGAACCAGAGCAATGGTGACTCCTGTTATGTTTTAGCAAACAGACTGGTGGCATGTTGTTCTGATCCTAGAAATGTGTAAAACTTTGAACTTGAGAGAGATGGTTTAGGGTATCTGGCAAAAGAAATTCTAAGCAGCAAAGCATTCCACAGGTGACTTGGGTGCTGTTAAAGGCATTCGGTTTTAAATGAGAAACAGCATAAAAGTTCAGAAAATTTGCAGGATGACAATGTGATAAAAAAGAAAATCCCATTTGCTATGAAGAAATTCAAGCAGCCTGCAAAAATTTGCATAAGTAACTAAGCTAAATGTTAATCACCAAGACAATGGGGAAAATGTCTCCAGGGGGCATGTCAGAGGTCTTTACAGCAACCCTTCCCATCACAGGTCTGGAGGCTTAAGGAGACAAAAAAAAATGGTTTCATGAGCTGGGCCCAGGGTCGCTGTGCTGTGTGCAGCCTAGGGACTTGGGGCCCTGCATCCCAGTCACTCTAGCCAGGGCTGAAAGGGGCCAACATAGAGCTTGAGCCATGCTACAAAGGGTACAAGCCCCAAGCCTTGGCAGTTTCCATGCGGTGTTGAGCCTGCAAGAGTACAGAAGTCAAGAATTGGGGTTTGGGAACCTCCACCTAGATTTCAGAGGATGTATGGAAACACCTGGATACTCAGGCAGAGGTTTGCTGCAGGGGAAGGGCCCTCATAGAGAATCTCTGCTAGTGCAGTCTGAAAGGGAAATGTTGTCAGAGTCCCCACACAATGTCCCTAGTGGAGCACCTCCTAGTGGAGCTGTGGAAAGAGAGTCACCTTCCTCCAGACCCCAGAATAGTAGATCCACTTACAGTTTGCACCATGTGCCTGGAAAAGCCATAGACACTCAATGTCAGCCTGTGAAAGCAGCCAAGAGTGGGGCTATACCCTGCAAAGCTACAAAGGTGTAGCTGCCCAAGGCTGTGGGAGCCTACATCTTGCATCAGCGTGACCTGAACGTGAGTCATGGAGTCAGAGGAGATCATTTTGGATCTTTAAGATTTGACTACTCTGCTGGATTTCAGACTTGCATGGGGCCTGAGTCCCCTTTGTCTGGCCAATTTCTCCCATTTGGAATTGCAGTATTTACCCAATGCCTGTACCCCTACAGGGTCTGGGAAGTAACTAACTTACTTTTGATTTTACAGGCTCATATGCAGAAAGGACTTGCCTTGTCTTGATGAGACTTTGGACTGTGGTCTTTTGAGTTAATGCTGAAATGAGTTAAGACACTGGGGGACTTTAGGGAAGGCATGATTGGTTTTTAAATGTGAGGACATGAGATTTGTCTGTGACCCCATTGAAATCTCATCTTGAATTCCCATGTGTTGTTGGAGGGACCTGGTAGGAGGTAATTGAATCATGGGGGCAGTATTTTCCCTTGCTTTTCTTGTGGTGGCAAATAAGTCTCATGAGATTCAATGGTTTTAAAAAGGAGAGCTTCCCTGCACAAGCTGCCTTTTTGCCTCCTGCCATCCATGTAAGACGTGACTTGCTCCTCTTGCCTTCCACCATGATTGGGAGGCCTCCCCAGCCATGTGGAACTGTGAGTCCAATTAATCTTCTTTCTTTTGTAAATTGCCCAGTGTCAGGTATGTTTTTATTAGAAGCATTAAAACAGACTAATGCAGAGGGTAACAGAGCAAGTACAGAAGTAGGGGTGGGGGAAGAAAGAGTTAACAATTTAAAAATTGTAGTAAACAAAAGTATTGGAGATAAGATGGATTTGAATGTACAAAAGTATCAGAGGATGGCACACACACACAAATATGGATAGACTCACCCTCCAAAAAGTGACAGAAGCTCATGCAATCCTGAAGACATCAGCTTGTTGAATTTTCCTCTTAGCATTTTAATGGAAAAGATTAGTTTATTTATTGACTATTCAAGATAAGGTATAATAATAATCTTTGAGTGTAACTTCAAGTATTTGGAATACTGCTGGGGAAAGTCATAAATTCAAATAAATATTATATACTTATTAAAATAACTACTATAATGTATCTTTGCATTTAAAATATGTTTTAAATGAGTATTTAAAATTTGAAAAGACACTGGAAATACACAGGTAGTGGGAGTATACAATCACTTGGAAAACAAATTTGCTAAAACCTACCGAAACACCACATAGACATATCCTGTGACTGAGCATTTGCACTCCTTGGCATTTATCAAAAATGGTTACAAATGTTCAATAAAAGACTAAATAAATGTTTATCGTAAAACCAAATAATACTCAAAGGTTTAGTTTAAGCTCTGAATAGCTCTGATGTGGCTAGAAAGATTCCATAGAGTATATATATTTATATAAATATATATATAAATTATTTGGAAAAATATTATAAAAATAGATAAGATCTTATGAAATAAAACATTAAATTTAAAAATTACATACAATTAATATAACATAATTCATATGTAAATAGTTGGTAGACAATTTCTGACATAAATTCTAAACTTATAAAACATTAAATTATTATATTTTGCAATGTCTATGTTTCAAAAACATCAAACACACTAAATTTGAAAAGAAAATTACAAATTGTAAATGATAGATACATATATTGTAGTTTAAGTTTTAATATCTTTGATATATTGAATTGTTATAAAAAGCTTAAGAATATGGTAATAAAATAGAAAATTTATATACATCTAATTCTCCCATATATAGGAAATATATATATGAGACAGATAACAAAAGAAATACAAGTGTCCCAAATTATTCAATGATTATGGAAATAAAAAATGTGAAATTAAACAATCATATTTAGTCTTGGAAAGTTTTGACAACCAAATTGAGTAATTGAGGCAAGAGTCTCAAATCACTGAGGTTTATTGACCCAATTTGAGGCCACACCCAGAAAATTGTGGATCACAGAAGCATCTGTGGCTTTTTTTTCCGAAGAGGTTCTTAGGAGATTTAGTATTTATACATTTTCTTTAAAAGGGAGTAGAGAGGAGCAACAGTGAGACAAATGCCCAATGCACAGTCTTCCCCAATTACTTCAGACCACTTCTCATTCCCAAAACCCATGTACCCATTCACACCAAGAAAATATTAATATAGCAACATGGAACAACAAGTGTCCTCCTCTGCCTGGTGTGTGGTCACACACATTGGTACCCAGCTTGTAGCCTTTTCTATTAAGTATTCCAATTCTTCTTTCCAAAAACAGCTGGCTACCTGATTGATCTATGAGCCATCTTGGGCCACTCGGAAGGTAACTGGGCCAGTAAGAGAACTCAAACTCACCTTAACCACTGACTAAATAGACTCAACATTTCATGTTAATGTATATAAGAGAAAAAGAGTACCTATTAAAGTAATATTTATCTTAGTCTTGACTCTTCTGTACAAAATATACAACATTCAGTCAAAAATTCTGAAACAATCCGAGAAAGCAAGGAGACAAAAAGATAAATTGTCTACAGAATCATAACTAAAAAGCCCCAGAAGTGAGAAATTTCATACACGGAGTTTAAAATAATTGTGATTAATATGCTACACTATCTAGCCAAAATTTGACAATTATGTAATGTTAATAGACCTATGTATTCATTGTCCAAATCAAGACGTCAAATATTACCAGCATCTTGTAAACCTTTCTCAAGAATCGTTATAGTCAATATCCTTTCAATGTTCACCATTGCTGACATATCACCATAGATATATTTTATGCAATGTATATAAATCGCTGTGCATATTATGCAGTACTTTTTATCTAGGTCCTTTTGCTTAGACAATATTGGTGACATTAGTTCTGGTTGTTGCATTTAGTAGTAGTCTGCCCTTTTTCATTTTTATTTGGCAATAAGAGCATAGAGATGAAAGAGGAGAGAGAGAATGGCAAGTCATAGAAACTTTTAAGGCTGCTATCACATAAATAGGTGGTATCATTAATCTTAATTGAAAATGTAGGACAAGGGCTAGCAATTCACAGAATCAGCAAAAAATGAGGTCTAATCTGAGCTGCCTATAATACACACAAGTACAGATTCAAAATCTATTAAATGAAATTATTAGAGGCAAATGTGTTTTGAAAATCAAGCTTTAAAAACAGTTGGAGGGGACACAAAATAAGATTCACTTTTACTTTTTATTTCTTTAAGGACAGCAGCAGAAAAGAGATTCTTGAAATGAAGTATTTTCACTAAACAGACCCAATGACAAGAGCTCAATATATGTGAGTGCTAGAAATAGATCCTTTTCGTATCTAACATGCAATAATAAATAAAGGCAATAAAATAAGAATGTTCAGATTAACTATAAGAAATTAAAAATCAAAGATAGTTTAGGGTGGGGCCCTCGTGAGCCTGCATTTCTATTAAGGGAGTTGAGAAGGAGCAATTGGAGAAGATGAATTTTAATTTTAACAGTGAGCCCATGAATCTGATTATGTTAAAAAATTAGAAAAAAAAATGAGACAAAATGGTTGCGTTAGTCAGAATTATTCAGAAAAAAAGAACTAATAGGATGGGTGTGTGTGTGTTGTGTGTGTAGAATGTCTGTGTGCCTGTGTGTGTGGTGTGTTTGTGTACCATGTCATAGACAACATAAGCCATCTCAGTCAAGGATGTACAGTAGATATAACCATGGTTCCTGCCTCAGCCTGCTGAGTAGCTGGGATTACAGGCACGCACCACCACATCCAGCTAATTTTTGTATTTTTAGTAGCCTTTCCTGTATTTTTCTAGCCTTTCCTGTGTGTTGCTTGAACTTTTTTCTTTTTTTGTTTTAGAATTCTAGTTTGATTAATCCCACCCGAATACCTTGTTTAAGTAATACATTATGGAACAAGTATTCTGGGTATTCCAAGGCTAAATATAGAAACATCCCATCTAAGCCTCTTGGAATGCTTACTCTAGGAGAAATCCATTGCTGGTAAAAATAAAAATTGATACAGCCACTTAAGATAAACAAGCTTTTTATTATACAACCAGAAAATTTAGAGATATTTGTTCAAGATAAGTAAAAGCACTGGTCCACAAGAAGAAAAAAAATACTGACATTCATAGCAGTATTAGTCACAATAATAAACACATTAAAGCAAAACAAATAACATGATTTGGCTCTGTGTCTCCACCCAATTCTCATCTTGAATTGTAATGTTGTAATCCTCATGTGTGTGGAAGAAATCTGGTGAGAGGTGGTTGATCCATGAGGGCAGTTTCCTCCATGCTGTTCTTATGATAAGTTTTCATGAAACCTGAGGGTTTTATAAGCATCTGGCATTTACCCTTCTAGCACTCATTCTCTCTCCTTATGCCCTGTGAAGAGGTGCCTTCCACCATGACTTTAAGTTTCCTGTTGCCTCCCCAGCCATGCAGAACTGAGTGTCAATTAAACCTCTTTTCTTCATAAATTACCCAGTCTCAGGTATTTCTTCACAGTAGTGTGAAAATGGACTAATACAGTAAATTGGTCCTGAGGGAGTGGGGTGCTGCTGTAAGGATACCCAAAAATGTGGCAATGACTTTGGAAGTGGGTAACAGGCAGAGGGCTCTTTGGAGGGCTCAGTTTGGAGGGAACAGTTTGGAGGGCTCAGAAGAAGACAGAAGAATGTAGAAAAGTTTGGAACTTCCTAGAGACTTGGAAGGTTCCAGAAACAGAGAGATGCAAAAAAGCTTGGAACTTCCTAGATACTTGCTGAATGGCTTGACCAAATTGCTGATAATGATATGGACAATTAAGTCCAGGCTGAGGTTGTCTCAGATGTAGATGAAGAACTTGTTAGAAACTGTAATAAAGGTGATTCTTACTGTGCTTTAGGAAAGAGAATGGTGACATTTAGCCCCTGCCCTAGAGATCTGTGGAAATTTGAACTTGAAAGAGATGATTTAGGGTATCTGACAGAAGAAATTTCTAAGTAGGAAAGCATTTGAGAGGAAGCAGAGCATAAAAGTTTGAAAGATTTTCAGTCTGATGATGCAATAGAAAAAAAATCCATTTTCTGAGTCGAAATTCAAGCCACCTGCAGAAATTTGCATAAGTAATAAGGAGCCAAATGTTAATCACCAAGGCAATTAGATAAATGTCTCCATGATATGTCAGAGACCTTTGTGGCAGCCCCTCTCCTAACGGGCCTGGAGCCATAGGAGGGAAAAAATGGAATTGGTGCCCTTCATTCGAGACACTCCAGCCATGGCTAAAACCCAAGGTACAGCACAGGCCATTGCATTGAAGGGTGCCTGCCTCAAGCCTTGGCAGCTTCTACTTGGTGTCAGTCTTGCCTGTGGGTGTGCAGAAGACAAGAATTGAGGTTTGGGAAGCTCCACCTAGATTCCAGAGGATGTAGGGGAAGCCTGTATGTCCAGGCAGAAGTTTGCTGCAGGGGTGATGCCTTCATGGAGAACAACTGCCAGGGCAGTGTGGAAGGGAAATGTGGGGTCCAAGCCTCCACAAAGCATCCCCATTGGGGCACTTCCTAGTGATGCTCTGAGAAGAGGGTCATTGTCCTCCAGATTCCAGAATGATAAATCCATTGACAGCTTCTACCATGCACCCGGAAAAGCCGCAGACACTAAATACCAGCCAATGAAAGCAGCCAGGAGTGGGGCCGTACCCTGCAATGCCAAAGGCATGAAGCTGCCCAAGGCTGTGGGAGCCCACCTCTTGCATCAGAGTGACCTGGTTGTGAGAAATGAAGTCAAAGGAGATCACCTTGGAACTTTAAGGTTTAACACTACTCTATTGGATTATAGACTTGCCTGGGGCTTATAGCCCCTTTCTTTTGGCCAATTTATCCCAACTGGAACAGGTGTATTTACCCCATGCCTGTACCCTCATTGTATCTAGGAAGCAACTAACTTGCTGTTGATTTTACTGGCTTATAGGTGGAAGGGACTTTCATGGTCTCAGATGAGACTTTGGATGTGGACTTTTGAGATAATGCTGGAATGAGCTAAGAATTTGGGGGCACTGCTCGAAAGAAATGATTGTGTTTTGAAACATGAGGACATGAGATTTGGGAGGGGCCAGGGGCAGAATGATATGGTTTGGCTCTGTGTGTCCACTCAAATCTCATCTTGTACTATAATCTCATAATCCCCACGTGTCAGGAGAGGGACCCGTGGGAGATAATTGAATCATGGGGACATTTCCCCCATGCTGTTCTCGTGATAGTGAGTGAGTCCTTACAAAATCTGATGGTTTTATAAGCATCTGGCATTTCCCCTGCTAGCACTCATTCTCTCTCCTGCTTCCTTAAGAGATGTCTTCTATCATGATTGTAAGTTTCCTCTCCTTTCACAACTAACATCAGCTTTTTTTTTTACAAACTAGTACCATCTATTCTCCTGTTTTCTCTGTGTGTATTTTAAAATGGTCTTGTGCACCCACAAGACCATCCACCCCACAGGCAAGTCTGCCTCTTTGCTTTCACTTCACAGGCCTTGTGACTTCTTAAAAACACACTAATTAGAACCCCAGCTCTGCCAGCTTCTTGCGACTTACCATATGCTTTTTGTTCATGCTATGCCCCAGGGCTGAGTTTTCCCGTGGCTTTTGAAGCAGTGTGCTGCATCATAGTATCTCACACTGGTCGTTTAAAGATCCCACTTAGTTTCCTTTATGAGTTATGTGTTAGCTCCTTTTTTGGAGGAGGGGAAATTGTTTCTTTTCCATTTGCAAGTTTTTCTCCCAAGTCCAAAGTCTTCTGGAGGTTACTTCTTTATGTCGAGAGGGCAAATAAACATTGCCCTCTCAAATCCAAGGCCTACTGTTTTTTGCAAGCATATAAAGGCTTTCCATGAGTATTCCTATAGCTTCATCTCACTTCCTCCTGTAAGAGCCATTTCTTCTAATCACTTCCAAACCCTTCTCAATATGTATCAGGACCTTCAGGGTCATATTGCAAGGGAAGGAAGTTTAGCTCTTTTGCAGCAGTTACCTGAAAAATCATCTTCTCATTGATTTAAAGAACACATGATACAAGATTATAAGAAAAGATATAAACATTTTGTTGCTAAAATGCTCCTTGAAAGAGTCACTATAAGGTCATGGAGACAAGAATATAGGCTAGCCCAAGACCTTAAGAACAAGAGACCCATCGGACAGAGAAGAAGTGTGGTCCCTGCCTAGCAGATTACCATATCAGAGATGAAGGCAAGATGTGGTGTAAACAGTAAGATCAGTTTATTCCAGAATCCCATTTGGTAACGAATATTATAAAAGGAAGAGATTTTGTGTGACAAAGCATCCTATATGTTAAATCCTTGCCCTAAAGTAAAATGACTGGTTGTTTGAAAAGATAAGAAAAGTCAGAAAGTCAAAGCATGTCATAGATGATCTGTGTAAGTCATAAAAATTCATGAAAGGAAATTTATTAACAATGTACAGTTTTAAAAGGTATTAGGTCTACTAAAAGCTTTAATGTCATAGATTGCTACTATGATCCTTAACTGTACAACTTGCCTACTTTAAAGATAGGTAAGGCTTTGGAACATACAGAGTTAGCCATGCCTCCTTGCTATGCTAGAAAAGGTCAGGCCTTACCTGCACTGCTGGGTGTCCTAGGCTCCAGACCTAGTACATAATTAGAATCACTATTTACCAGGTTTTTCACCAAAAGTAAAAGCTGCTAAAAGTTAATAGTATAACATGTACTCAAGACTACTGGAAAAACAGTTTTACATGCAAGTTATGTAAGGAAACAAGAACATGTTTTTAGTAAAATGTTATAAAAAGGCAGGAAATGTGAACTATTTTGCCTAGTTTAGAAGGTTAAAGGATTGTTTTAAGTTAGATAGGATAAAGCTGAACATTTAAGAAAGTTGTGGAAGGTTCACAAAAGATTAACCTTGTAAAAGAAATTCTGTGTGTGAACATATCAACTATAAAGAAGTATTATTCAGTTTTCTTCATAAATATAATATTTGAATGAAAGCACAACAGAGTTTTATTAGAGCAGGGGTGGCCAATCTTTTGGCTTCCTGGGCCATATTGAAAGAAGAAGCCTTGTCTCTGGCCACACACACACACAAAACTACTAACACTAATGTTAGCTGATGAGCTAAAAAAAAAGTCCCCCCCAAAATTATAATGTTTTTAAAAAGTTTATGAATTTGTGTTGGTTCACATTCAAAGATGTCTTGGGCCACATGCAGTACACAGGCCATGGGTTGGATAAGCTTGTATTAAAGCATTGAACTTTTCATTAAAAAAATTGTAAAAAAAATTATAAAAGGTTTATGAGAATCTTACTTTATGGTCAAACTAATTAAGATTGGATATATTTATCTATAATGTTTTATCAAGAATTTGGTTTGACATCAATACTACACTAATGCAGAGGTAAAATATGGCATTTTTTGGACTGTATTTCTATAAATGTGTTTTTGGCATATGCTAATAATTATAATTGTTATGTTAAATTATTGTGTGCCACAGAGGTAATCAATTTCTTTGTCAATTATGCCTTTAACTGTGGCTGCCCTAAGACTTTTTGTGATCCACAGACAATTATTGTTTTATGTTAATCCTCTTTAAAAGGTTTTATAATCTAAAGGACTCTAACAGGTGCTCTTAAATGCACGTTTCTGATAACTTCGGATGTTGTGACATTAGAAAAGAGGAAAAACTTTCAGGACTCCCATGGAGAGCTGAAATGTTTATGAATTCTAGCAAAACTGTAGTTGACTACATGGACTGAACTAATAGAAGACTAAAATAATCCTTTTATGGCTCTGCTTAAAACGTTGCTAGTTCTTCATTTTTTTAAAGTGAAGAAAACTTTTGAGCTTTTTACAGCTTTGAACAATTGAATAAAGTATAATCCTATAAATAAAATTTGGAACATATTTCTCTCTATCTGATTTCTCCAGAATTTGGAAACTATTTTTGAGTATTCTTAACTTATGGCAATATATTTATTTGCATAAGTGTGATAAGAATCTGTTTTCTGTGCTCACTTTGGCAACATACATACTAAAATTGGACGGATACAGACATAAACATGGCCCCTGCACAAGGATGACATGCAAATTCATGAAGCATTCCATATTTTTTTTAAAAAAAGAATGTTTTCTTTTGCAAAAGGACACAATTGGAGATACTGGTTATTTTACCAAGGCTTTGATTGGAATGGCATGCTTTCCTTTAAGAAATACAATTTGACTTATACAGCCAATGAAAGCCTTTTGGGGAAACTGACATCATACCTTGTCTATACAGTCCTTGTACAGAGTTCCTTACTTGTGGCAAATAAAGAAGGTAAATTTTCTCTTTTTTCTTTTTATTTTTTGAGACTGGTTCTGGGCAATAGAATGTAACTTTCTAACAAGCTGAGGAGCCCCACGTTGTCTTGAGACCTCAAGTGGAGAGGAATATATCTGACTCACAAAGGAATTTAATGACACAAATAAACCATGACTAGGCTTAAGGCTTTAAAAAGTCTTTTCTGAGATAGAACAAAGTTCCTTCAAAGTCAATATAAAAAGGATCTTATGTGGCAAATAATTATTCATGCTGTGCTTTATGCAAATAATCAAATTCACATACATATGATGAGAGAGAGAGAAAGAGAGAGAGACAGTGTGTGAGATAGAGCATGCAAGCAAACTCATACTTACATGCAACCCATACAGGTCACTTTAACTTTTGACTTTGTGTCTCAACCTGGTTGTATTGCTTTACCATTCAGAGTCCTCAGGTTGTTGACCAAAGTTTTTAGTTGTAATCAGTAATAAAGATAACCTATGCTGGGTTTTTCCCCACTTGACAAGATGTATCATAGTAACATGAATACATATACCTGATGCACATTTAATAAAATTAGTGTGCAAAAGTGCCTTTCTGTATTATAAAAGAGTATTAATATTTAGTAATTATAAACAATGAAAATGAATCTAAGAAGGCAACTTAGGCCCAAATTATATCTATATGATATATATGTGATATTATATACATTATGTATACACAATAAAGTGGATATGTACAATATAGTGAGTATATAATAAATAATTAAGTATATAATTGAATATATAATAAATTTAATACATAATATATTGAATATATAATAAATTATTAAATATATTATAAAAATATACCGCTTTTCTCTTTATCTGCTTTACTTTTCATCTTTTTATATCACTCATTTAAAAATCCCTAAAATCTTTAAAATTTCTTTTTTTTAGTTATTATGGGTACATGATACATGCATATATTTATGAGTTATATGTAATGTTCTGATACAGGCACACAATTTGTAATGATCATATCAGGGTAATTGGGATATCCCTCACCTTGAACATTTATCTTTTTTGTGTTAGGAATATTCAAATTCCACTCTTTTAGTTATTTTTAAATATAAAAGAAATTATTGCTTACTATAGTCACTCTATTTTGCTATGAAATACTAGATATTATTTAATTTATCTAGATGTATTTCTGCACTCAGTAATTATCACCACTTCTCCCCACTTCCTCTCTTCCCTTCCCAGCCTCTAGTAAGCATCATTCTACTCTCCATCTCTATTAGTTCTATTTTTGTTATTTTTAGCTCCCACGTATGAGCGAGGACATGCAAAATGAGTGTTTCTGTGCCTAGCTCATTTTACTTAATATTATGCCCTCTAGTTCCATTTATGTTGTTGCAAATGATACGATATTATGCCTTTTTATGGCTGAATAATATTTCATTGCATATATGTACCACGTGTTGTATTGATTTATCTGTTGATAAACACTTAGGTTGATTCTAAATCTTGCCTAATGTGAATAATGCTGCAATAAACATGGGAGTGCAGATATAGCTTTGATATACTGATTTTCTTGCTTTTGATTATATTAACTAGTAGTGGAATTGCTAGATTACGTGGCAGTTCTATTTTTAGTTTTTTGAGGAACCTCTGTACTACATTCCATAGTAGCTGTACTTACTTACATTCCCACCAACAATGTACGAAGTTTTCCATTTCTTCACAATCCCACTAACATTTATTATTGCCTGTCTTTGGGGAAAAACAGTTTTAATTGGTATGAGATTAATATCATTGTAATTTTTATTTGCACTTTCTCTGATGACTAATGATGTTGAGCATATTTTTTTATGCCTGTTGGCTATTTGTATGTCTTCCTTTGAGAAATGCCTATCAGATCTTTTATACATTTTAAAATCATATTATTTGATTTTTTTTCTGTTGAGTTTTTGGTCTCCTTATATATTATTTATTAATTCCTTGTCAGATGGGTAGTTTGCAAATATTTACTACTATTCTGTGCATTGTCTCTTCATTTTGCTGATTGCTTCCTTTGCTGCACAGAAGCTTTTTACCTTTCTGTGATCCCATTTGTCCATTTCTGCTTCAGTTGCCTGTGCTTTTGTGGTATTTCTCAAGAAATATTGGTCCAGACCAATGTCGTGGAGAATTTCCCCAAAGTTTTCCTTCAGTAGTTTCATAATTTCAGGTGTTTCATTTAAGACTTTAATTTATTTTGATTTGAATTTTTTTTTAGTTTTCTGTCTCATTTTGTGGCTTAATATATGGTCTATCTTTGAGAATAATCCACTTACTGGGGAAAAGAATGTGTATACAACAGCTGTTAGATTCTGTAAATATCTATTAGGTGCATTTAGTTTATAGTGCAGAATATGTCCAATGTTCCTTTGTTGATTTTCTCTCTGGATGGTTTGTCTGATGCTGAAAGTAGAATGTTGAGGTATCAAGCTATTATTGTATGAGGGCCTATCTCTCTCTTTACTTCTAGTAATATTTGCTTTATAAATATATTTGTGGTCCAGTGTTAGGTGCATAAATAAAACTGTTGTAACCTCCTGATGAATTGACCCGTTTATCATTACATAATGTCCTTCCTTGTATTTTTTATAGTTTTATCTTTAAATCTATTTTATCTGATTTGATAATAGCTACTCCTGCTCTTCTTTAGTGTCCATTTGCATAAAATATCTTTTCTCATCCCTTTGTTTTTAGCCTACATGTGTCTTTATAGGTGAAGTGAGTTTCTTATAGGTAGCAGATAATTTATTATATTATATTTTATTGGTTTTTTAAAACATATTCTGCCACCCTATGCCTTTTGATGGGAAGTTTAGTCCCTTTACATTCAATGCTATTATTAATTGGTAAGGACTTACTACTGCCAGTTTGTTGTTTTCTGGTTGCTTCATGATCCTCTCTACCTTTTTCTTACCTGTATTTCTTTGTCTAAAAGTAATTTGCTCTAGTAGTATATTTTAATTTAAGGTAAAACTAATACAGCTTAAGGATATTCTGGGCTGAGATGATGGGGTTTTCTAAATATAAAATCATGTCATCTGCAAACAGGGACAATTTGACTTCCTCTTTTCCTAATTGAATACCCTTTATTTCTTTCTCCTGCCTGATTGCCCTGGCCAGAATTTCCAACACTATGTTGAATAGGAGTGGTGAGAGAGGGCATCCCTGTCTTGTGCCAGTTTTCAAAGCGAATGTTTCCAGTTTTTGCCCATTCAGTATGATATTGGCTGTGGGTTTGTCATAAATAGCTCTTATTATTTTGAGATACATCCCATCAATACCTAATATATTGAGAGTTTTTAGCATGAAAGGCTGTTGAATTTTTTTTTTTTTTTTTTTTTTTGAGACTGAGTCTTGCTCTGTCGCCCAGGCTGGAGTGCAGTGGCGCAATCTTGGCTCACTGCAAACTCTGCCTCCTGGATTCATGCCATTCTTCTGCCTCAGCCTCCAGAGTAGCTGGGACTACAGGTGCCTGCCATCACACCCAGCTAATTTTTTTGTATTTTTAGTAGAGATGGGGCTTCACCATGTTGGCCAGGATTGTCTTGATCTCCTGACCTTGTGATCCACCCACCTCGGCCTCCCAAAGTGCTGGGATTACAGGCTTGAGCCACTGCGCCTGGACAGGGCTGTTGAATTTTGTCAAAGGCCTTTTCTGCATCGATTGAGATAATCATGTGGTTTTCCTCTTTGGTTCTATTTATATGCTGGATTACGTTTATTGATTTGCATATGTTGAACCAGCCTTGCATCCCCGGGATGAAGCCCACTTGATCATGACATTTATGCAGCCAACAGACACATGAAAAAATGCTCATCATCACTGGCCATCAGAGAAATGCAAATCAAAACCACAATGAGATACCATCTCACACCAGTTAGAATGGTGATCATTAAAAAGTCAGGAAACAACAGGTGCTGGAGAGGATGTGAAGAAATAGGAACACTTTTACACTGTTGGTGGGACTGTAAACTAGTTCAACCATTGTCGAGGACAGTATGGCAATTCCCCAAGGATCTAGAACTAGCCATCCCGTTACTGGGTATATACCCAAAGGGTTATAAATCATGCTGCTATAAAGGCACATGCACACGGATGTTTATTGCAGCACTATTCACAATAGCAAAGACTTGGAACCAACACAAATGTCCATCAATGATAGACTGGATTAAGAAAATGTGGCACATATACACCATGGAATACTATGCAGCCATAAAAAAGGATGAGTTCATGTCCTTTGTGGGGACATGGATGAAGCTGGAAACCATCATTCTCAGCAAGCTATCCCAAGGAAAAAAAATCAAACACTGCATGTTATCACTCATAGATGGGAATTGAACAATGAGAACATTTGGACACAGAAAGGGGAACATCACACACCAGGGCCTGTTGTGGGGTGAGGAGAGGGGGGAGGGAAAGCATTAGGAGATATACCCAATGTAAATGATGAGCTAATGGGTGCAGCACACCAACATGGCACATGTATACATATGTAACAAACCTGCACGTTGTGCACATGTACCCTAGAACTTAAAGTATAATGATAATAAAAAAAGAAAAGTCTGAAACATAAGGGGGGAAAAAAACTAATACAAACTGTACCCTTTAAGTTCATTTCCCTGATTTTTAATTTTTTTGTTGTTTCTATTTATATTTTTATACTCTCTATCTCTTAAAAAATTGTAGCTATTATTTTTGATAGGTTTGTCCATAGTCTTCCTACTCAAGATATGAGTGGTCTACACAACACAATTACAGTGTTAGAATATTCTGTATTTTTCTGTTTATTTACTGTTACCAGTGAGTTTTGTATCTTTATATGATTTCTTATTGCTCATTAATGACTCTTCTTTCAGATCAAAGAACTCACTTAAGCATTTCTTGTAGGACAGGTTTGGTATGCATCAAACTATCTCAGCTTTTGTTTGTCTTGGAAAGTTTTTATTTCTCCTTCATGTGATAAGGATTTTTTGTTCTGGATATAAAATCGTAGGAAAAAAAATTGTCCTTTTTTTCCTTCAGCACTTTGAATATATCATGCCATGCTCTTCTGGCTAGCCAGGTTTCCACTAAGAAGTCTACTAACAGAAATATTGGAGCCTATTAAAAAGCTTTTAAGATCCTTTCTTTAACCTTGACCTTTGGGAGTTTCATTATTAACTGTCTTGAGGTAGTTGTATTTGATTTAAATCTGCTTTGTGTTCTATTATATTGTCGTACTTGGATATTGATATCTTCCTCTAGTTTTGCAAAGTTGTTATGTTTTATTTGAAGAAACTTTTTATGCCATTCTCTCTCTCAATCTCCCCTTTTAAACCAATAACTGTCAGATTTGCACTTTTGAGGCTATTTTGTAAATCTTGTAGGCATGCTTTTTTATTATATTTTAAGTTCCGGGGTACATGTATGAACGTGCAGGTTTGTTACATAGGTATACACGTGCCATGGTGGTTTGCTGCACCCATCAACCCGTCATCTGCATTAGGTATTTCTCCTAATGTTATCCCACCACTACCTCCCAACCCCCTGAAAGGCCCTGGTGTGTGATGTTCCCCTCCCTGTGTCCATGTGTTCTCATTGTTCAACTCCCACTTATGAATGAGAACATGCGGTGTTTGGTTTTCTATTCTTGAGATAGTTTGCTGAGAATGATGGTTTCCAGCTTCATCCATGTCTCTGCAAAGGACATGAACTCATCCTTTCTTATGGCTGTTTAGTATTCCATGGTGTATATGTGCCACATTTTCACTATCCAGTCTATCAGTGATGAGCATTTGGGTTGGTTCCAAATCTTTTCAATTGTAAACAGTGACACAACAAATATAAGTGTGCATGTGTCTTTATAGTAGAATGATTTATAATCCTTTGGGTATAAACCCAGTAATGGGATTGCTGAGTCCAATGGTATTTCTAGTTCTAGATCCTAGAGGAAACGGCACACTGTCTTCTACAATAGTTAAACTAATTTACACTCCCATCAACAATGTAAAAGCATTCCTATTTCTCCACATCCTCTCCAGCATCTGTTGATTCCTGACTTTTTAATGATCGCCATCCTAACTGGCATGAGATGGTATCTTATTGTGGTTTTGATTAGCATTTCTCTAAGGACCAGTGATAACTGAGCTTTGTTTCATATGTTTCTTGACTGCATAAATGTCTTCTTTTGAGACATGTCTGTTCATTTCCTTTGCCCACTTTTTGATGGGGTTGTTTGTTTTTTCTTGTATATTTGTTTAAGTTCTTTGTAGATTCTGAATATTAACCCTTTTTCAGATGGATAGATTGCAAAAATTTTCCCCCATTCTGTAGGTTGCCTGTTCACTCTGATGATAGTTTATTTTGCTGTGTGCAAGCTCTTTAGCTTAATTTGTTCCCATTTGTCTATTTTGGTTTCTGCTGCCATTGCTTTTGGTGTTTTAGTCATGAAGTCTTTGCCCATTCCTATGCCCTGAATCGTATTGCCTAGGTTTTCTTCTAGGGTTTTTATGGTCCTAAGTCATACATTTAAGTCTTTATTCCATCTTGAGTTAATTTTTGTATAAGGTATAAGGAAGGGATCCAGTTTCAGCTTTCTGGAAATGGCTAGCCAGTTTTCCCAACACCATTTATTATATAGGGAATGCTTTCCTATTGTTTGTTTTTGTCAGGTTTGTCAAAAATCAGATGGTTGTAGATGTCTGGTGTTATTTTTGAGCCCTCTGTTTTGTTCCATTGGTCTATATATCTGTTTTGGTACCAGTATCATGCTGTTTTTGTTACTGTAGCCATGTAGTGTCATTTGAAGTCAGGTAGCATGATGACTCCAGCTTTGTTCTTTTTGCTTAGGATTGTCTTGTCTATGTGAGTTTTTTTGGGTTCCATATAAAATTTAGAGTAGTTTTTTCCAATTCTTTAAGGAAAGTCAATGGTAGCTTGATGGGGATAGCATTAAATCTATACATCATTTTGGGCAGCATGGCCATTTTCAAGATATTGATTCTTCCTATCCATGAGCATGGAATGTTTTTCCATTTGTTTGTGTCCTCTCTTATTTCCTTGAGCAGTGGTTTGTAGTTCTCCTTGAAAAGGTCCTTCATATCCCTTGTAAGTTTTATTCCTAGGTATTTTATTCTCTTTGTAGCAATTGTGAATGGGAGTTCACTCACCATTTGGCTCTCTGTCATTTTTTGTATAGGAATGCTTGTGATTTTTGCACATTGATTTTCTATCCTGAGACTTTGCTGAAGTTGCTTATCAGTTTAAGGAGATTTTGATCAGAGATTATGGGGTTTTCTAAATATAGACTCATGTCATCTGCAAACAGAGACAATTTGACTTCCTCTCTTCCTGCTTAAATACAATTTATTTCTTTCTCTTGTCTGATTGTTCTGGTCAGAAGTTCCAATACTATCTTGAATAGGAGTGGTGAGAGAAGGTATCCTAGTCTTGTGTCGGTTTTCAGGGGGAATGCTTCCAGTTTTTGCCCATTCGGTATGATATTGGCTGTGGGCTTGTCATAAATAGCTCTTACTATTTTGAGTTATGTTCAATCAATACCTAGTTTTTTGAGAGTTTTTAGCATGAAGGGCTGTTGAATTTTATTGAAGGCCTTTTCTGCATCTATTGAGATAATCATGTCTGTGTTTTTTTTTTTTTTTCTGTCATTGGTTCTGTTTATGTGATGGATTAGGTTTATTGATTTCCTTATGTTGAATCAGCCTTGCATTCCAGGGGTGAAGCCAGCTTGATTGTGGTGGATAACCTTTTTGATGTGCTGCTGGATTCAGTTTGCCAGTATCTTATTGAGGATCTTCACATCAATGCTTATCAGGGATATTGGCCTGAAATTTTCATTTTTTGCTGTTTATCTGCCAGGTTTTGGTATCAGGATGGTGCTGGCCTCATAAAATGAGTTAGGGAGGAGTCCTTCTTTTTCTATTGTTTGGAATAGTTTCAGAAGGAATGGTACCAGCCCCTCTTTGTACCTCTGGTATAATTCGGCTGTGAATCCATCTAGTCCTGGAATTTTTTTGGTTGGCTGGCTGTTAATTGCAGCCGCAATTTCAGAACTTGTTATTAGTCTATTCAGGAATTCAACTTCTTCCTAGTTTAGTCTTGGGATGGAGTATGTGTCCAGGAACTTATCCATTTTTTTCTAGAATTTGTAATTTATTTACATAGAGGTGTTTATAGTATTCTCTGATGGTAGTTCGTATTTCTGTGGGATTGATGGTGATATCCCCTTTAACATTTTTTATTGCGTCTATCTAATTCTTCTCTCTTTTCTTCTTTATTAGTCTGGCTAGCAGTGTATCTATTTTGCTGATCTTTTCAAAATACCAACTCTTGGATTCATTGACTTTTTTGAAGAGATTTTCATGTTTCTATCTCTTTCAGTTCTGCTCTGATCTTAGTTATTTCTTGCCTTCTGCTAGCTTTTGAATTTGTTTGCTCTTGCTTCTCTAGTTCTTTTAATTGTGATGCTAGGGTGTTCATTTTAGATCTTAACTGCTTTCTCTTGTTGGCATTTAGTGCTTTAAATTTCCCTCTATACACTGCTTTAAATGTGTCCCAGGTATTCTGGTATGTTGTGTCTTTGTTCTCATTGGTTTCAAAGCATATCTTTATTTCTCCCTTCATTTCATCATTTATCTAGTAGTCATTCAGGAGCAGGTTGTTCAGTTTCCATGTAGTTGTGTGGTTTTGAGTGAGTTTCTTAATCATGAGTTCTAATAATTTGATTGCACTGTGGTCTGAGAGACTATTCGTTATGATTTCCGTTCTTTTGCCTTTGCTGAGGAGTGTTTTACTTCCAATTATGTGGTCAATTTTAAACTAAGTGCTATGTGGTGCTAAGAAGAATGTACATTCTGTTGATTTTGGCTGGAGAGATCTGAAGATGTCCATTAGGTTCGCTTGATCCAGAGCTGAGTTCAAGTCCTGGATATCTTTGTTAATTTTCTGTCTCATTGATCTGTCTAATATTGACACTGGGGTGTTAAAGTCTCCCAATATTATTGTGTGGGAGTCTAAGTCTTTCTGTATGTCACTAAGAACTTGCTTTATGAATCTAGGTGCTCCTGTATTGGGTGCATATATATTTAGGATAGTTATCTCCTCTTGTTGCACTGATTCTTTCACAATTATGTAATGCCCTTCTTTGTCTCTTTTGATCTTTGTTGGTTTAAAGTTTGTTTTATCACAGATTAGGATTGAAACCCATTTTTTTTTTCCATTTGCTTGGTAAATATTCCTCCATCCCTTTATTTTGAGCCTATGTGTGTCTTTGCACATGAGATGGGTCTCCTGAATACAGAACACCAATGGGTCTTGACTGTTTATCCAATTTGCCAGTCTGTGTCTTTTAATTGGGGCATTTAGCCCATTTACATTTATGGTTAATATTGTTACATGTGAATTTGATCCTACCATTTGGTGCTAGCCGATTATTTTTCAAGTGAGTTGACGCAGTTTCTTCATATCGCTGATGTTCTTTACAATTTGGTATTTTTTTGCAGGGGCTGGTATTGGTTGTTCTTTTCCAGGTTTAGTGCCTCCTTCTGGAGCTCTTGTACGGCAGGCTTGGTGGTAACAAAATCTCAGCATTTGCTTGTCTGTAAGGGATTTTATTCTTCTTCACTTTTGAAGCTTACTTTGGCTGGATATGAAATTATGGGTTGAAAATTCTTTTCTTTAAAAATGTTGAATATTGGCACCCACTCTTTTCTTGCTTGTAGGGTTTCTGCAGAGAGAGCCACTGTTAGTCTGATGGGCTTCTCTTTGTGGGTAACCTGACCACTCTCTCTGGCTGCCCTTAACATTTTTCCTTTATTTTAACCTTTGTGGATATGACGATTATGTGTCTTGGGGTTGCTCTTCTCAAGGAGTAACTTTGTGGTGTTCTCTGTATTTCCTGAATTTGAATGTTGGCCTGCCTTGCTAGGTTGGGGAAGTTCTCCTGGATAATATCCTGAAGAGTGTTTTCCAACTTGCTTCCATTCTCCCAGTCAGTTTCAGGTACACCAATCAAATGTAGATTTGGTCTTTTTACATAGTCCTATATTTCTTGGAGGCTTTGTTAGTTTCTTTTCACTCTTTTTTTCTCTAATCTTGTCTTGTCACTTTATTTCATTGAGTTGAATTTCAATCTCTGATATCCTTTCTTCCGCTTGATTGATTCGGCTGTTGATATTTGTATATGCTTCACAAAGCTCTCATGCTGTGTTTTTCAGCTCCATCAGGTCATTTATGTTCTTCTCTAAACTGGTTACTCTAGTTAGACATTTGTCTAACCTTTTTTCAAGGTTCTTAGCTTCTTTGCATTGGGTTAGAACATGCTCCTTTAGCTCGGAGGAGTTTGTTATTACTCACCTTTTGAAGCCTACTTCTGTCAGTTCATCAAACTCATTCTCCATCCATTTTTGTTCCCTTGCTGGGGAGGAATTATGATCCTTTGGAGAAGAGGCATTCTAGTTTTTGGAATTTTCAGCCTTTTGCGCTGGTTTCTCCCCATCTTCGTGGATTTATCTACCTTTGGTCTTTGAAGTTGGTGACCTTCGGATGGGGTATCTGGGTGGAAGTCCTTTTGTTAATGTTTATACTTGTTTTTCTGTTTGTCAGTTTCCTTTTAACAGTCAGGCCCCTCTGCTGCAGGTCTGCTGGATTTTGCTGAAGTCCACTCCAGACCCTGTTTGCCTGGGTATCATCAGTGGAGGCTGCAGAACAGCAATGATTCCTTCCTGTTCCTTCTTCTGGAAGCTTCATCCCAGAGGGGCACCGGCCAGATGCCAGCCAGGGCTCTCCTGTGTGAGGAGTCTGTTGGCCCCTACCGGGAGGTATCTCCCAGTCAGGATAAACAAGGGTCAGAGACCCACTTGAGAAGGCAGTCTGTTTCTTATCAGAGTTCAAATGCTGTTCTGGGAGTTTTGCTGCTCCCTTCAGAGCTGCCAGGCAGGGATGTTTGAGTCTTCTTGATGCTGTGCCTACAACCGCCCCTTCCCCCACGTGCTGTCCCAGGGAGTTGGAGGTTTTATCTATAAGTCTCTCACGGGGCTGCTGCCTTTTCTTCAGAGATGCCCTGCCCAGAGAGGAGAGGCAGTCTGGCCTCAGTGGCTTTGCTGAGTTGCTTTGGGCTTTGCCCAGTTTGAACTTCTTGCTGGCTTTGTTCACTCTGTGAGGGTAAAACCGCCTACTCAAGCCTCAGCAATGGTGGACGCCCCTCCCCACAATAAGCTTGTGTGTCTCAGGTCGAGCTCAGACTGCTGTGCTAGCAGGGAGAATTTCAAGCCAGTGGATCTCAGCTTGCTGGCCCCGTGGTGGAGGGATCCGCTGAGTCAGACCACTTGGCTCCCTGGCTTCAGCCCCCTTTCCAGGGGAGTGAATGGTTGTGTCTCGCTGGTGCTCCACGCACCAGTGGGGTATGAAAAAAAAAAAAAACTCCTGAGGCTAACTCAGTGTCTGCCCAAGTGGTCGCCTAGTTTTGTGCTGGAAACCCAGGGTCTTGCTGGTGTAGGCACCAGAGTGAATCTTTTCGTCCGCAAGTTGCCAAGATTGTGGGAAAAGCGCAGTATCTGGGCCTGCGTGCACTGTACAGTCCCTAATGGATTCCCTAGGCCAGGAGAGGGAGTTCCCCCACTCCTTGCGCTTCCTGGGTGAGGCGATGCCCCACCCTGCTTTGGCTGCCCTCCTTGGGCTGCACCCACTGTCTAACCAGTTCCAATGAGATGAACTGGGTAACTCATTTGGAAATGTAGAAACCACCCGCTTTCTGCATTGATCTCACTGAGAGCTGCAGACCGGAGCTGTTCCTATTTAGCCATCCTGCCTGCAAAAAGACATGCTTTTTAAAATTTTTTTTGTGTATGATTTCTCTTCTGATTGTGTATTTATATCGTGTGTCTTCAAATTAGCTCATTCTTTCTTCTGCTCAATCAATTCTGCTGTTGAGAAACTCTAAGAAGTTTTAAGTCTATTAACTAAAATGTTCAACTCTAGGATTTCTACTTGCTTTTTCATTATTTTAATCTCTTTGTTACATTTCTCTGACAGGATTCTGAAGTCTTTCTTTGTGTTGTTTTAAGTTTATCTGGCTTCCTCAAAACAGCGATTTTGAATTCTCTGTCTGAAAGGCTGCATACCTCTGTCACTCTGAGATTAGTGACTGGTTTTTATCTACTTATTGTGGTGAGATCATGTTTCCTGGATGTTATTGATGCTTGTGGATGTTCACTGATATCTAGGATTCAAGAGTTGGGTACTTATTCTAATCTCAATCTGGATTTGTTTCTATCCATCCTTCTTGAGAAGGCTTTCCAGATATTCAAAGGAAATTAAGTGTTGTAAACTAAGTCTCTGATTAATGCAGTTTTATCTGCACTAGAGAATGTCTCCAACTCAAGAATTTTAAAAACTTTGCAGATTCCTGCTGCCTTGATGGGCTTGGGTACAATTCAGGAGAATTTCCTGGATTCACAGGAAGACTTTCATTCTTTTTCTTCACTTTTCCTCAAGCAGAAGGCACCACTCCTTGCTGGAATACCTGGAGTTGGTGGGAGCGTGATGCAAGCACTCTCATGTCCATCACAGCTAGAACAACACTGAGTGACACTTGAATCCTGCATAGTACTGGGTTGTCCCAAGGCCCATGGTGACTACTTCCTGGCTATCACTGATGTTTATTCAAGGCAAAAGAGATCTTTAGACAGCACGTAGTGAATATTACCAGGACTGAGTTCTTCCCTGTGTGACAGCAAGTTCCTTTGTGGGTCCACAGCAGATCCAAAAATGCAGTCCAGCTGGGCGTGGTGGCTCATGCCTGCAATCCCAACAATTTGGGAGGCCAAGATGGGGGGATCACCTGAGGTCAGGAGTTCGAGACCAGCCTGACCAACATGGAGAAACCCCATCTCTACTAAAAATACAAAAAATTAGCCGGGCATGGTGGCACATGCCTGTAATCCCAGCTACTCTAGAGGCTGAGGCAGGAGAATTGCTTGATCCTGGGAGGCAGAGGTTGCAGTGAGCTGAGATCACTCCATTGCACTCCAGACTGGGCAACAAAAGTGAAACTCCATCACAAACACGAAAAGCCGTTCAGTAGCTAGGGCTTAGCAATAGGGTCTTCAGAAAACTGCTTTGTGCTTTATTTTACTGTAACTGAGCTAGTACTCAAGCAGAGACTCTTGCAAGGCAGAGTACTCTTTCCTCTTCATTTTGCAGGGGCATGGAGTCTCTTCCCACGCTGCATTGGCTGAAGTTGGGGGAGGGGTGATGCAAGCACTCCCTTGGACACCACAGCTTGTGTATCACTGGGTCACGTGCCCCACCAAGTCCACTGACTCTGAGTCTAGCCAAGCCCCAGGGCTTGCCCAAAGACTGCAGCCTTGTGGCCTAAATTTATTTAGGACTCTAGACCACTTTGGTCAGATAGTGGAATTAGATGTAATTCAGGTTTATACTGCTAGGGCAGAGGAATCTTCTCTAGCTGAGGGTAGTCTAACTGCTGCCTCCATGGGTGCCAGAATTGTGCTGTGTGTTTTGTTCTTCTGTGACAGAGCAGCATTAATTTCCAATGCAATTCCCACAATCACTTTGCTCTCCCTCCGATAAGCACACAGAATCTCTCTGTCCACTGCCAAGGGATTAGAAGGGGTAGTGTAGATACCAAGACTGTCTTTTCTACCATCTTCAGTGCCTCTTTCCTTGATATAATGTTAACACTATATTCTGTGACTGCTTACCTAATTTTTGGTTCTAATGGAAGTGCTTTCTAGCATGGATAGATGTTCAACTTTATGTTCTTGGGGTTGGAGGGAGTGATTGTTGGAGGGTTCTATTTGGTCATCTTGCTCTGCCTGCTTTCTACCTTTAAGTCTTTCAATAATCCTAAAACACTTTCCATCAATCACTTTTCATAAGATAATAACAAAAAGAATTATAAGCATAAAGGTTTACACATCTACATTAATTTTCCCCTCAAATCCTACATGCTCCAATAAGTTTAGGAAATAAAATCTTAGTGCTCTGTTCAATGATTTAAAAATTCAACTTTAGTGTGTCTCTGTTTTGGGGTTGCTTCATCTTCCTGCTAAACTTAATGAGACTTGGTGCTTACAGTAGCTTTATTGTAATCACATGGCTGATACAGCATGAATAAATTATATGATTGTAAACATAAGTTGAAATAGTTTTTTAAAATATGCAGATATATTTGATTATCATTACTTCTAGCTCTACTCATGTTGATATAAATTTTAACCTATAGAATTCCTTTCATATTCAGTCCCAAATTCTAAGCATCTCTTCTTAACATGCTGAAAAATATTGCTGAAGATTTCATTTAGAAAAAGTAATAAAGCATATGATTAAAGGTAGCATTTTCTCTCCCTGAAAAATTCGCAGGGGAAGCAAGGCAACCTGTAAAGTTGAGCATGGACATCAAGGAGTAACTTCGTTTTTCTAAAATAATATAAACATAAATTATATTTATGTAGTAAACTTTTATGTTAGATTTCATGATGAAATGTTTATAAATGAAGGAAATATGCCATTAAGCCATTAAATTTTATTATGTGAGAAAAATCCTTGTAAAAATACCATTAAAAAGTCATGTTTTGCTTCCTTTATTTTACTAAAAGAATAAATAAAATATTATTTACATCATTTCTGTATTTAACATTAAATTATTTGAAAAAACATAATATAGCTTAAATCACCCAATTATGTATGGGCATATTCCAGTATTTCTTTTATAACATCCATTGGCGAATATTTATTTTACTGAAACAGGTCATGTAGGAATATAGTACACTGTACTCTATTCAATTGAATAGAAATCAATAAAATATTGAATAAAATATTGAATCTATTATTTTACATTTCTATTGAAACAGGCAATGTAGGAATATACTACACCATATAGTACATTAGATTCCTATACTATAAATACACTATATTCCCTTTTATCTATTTTTTTAATTAAATAATACATTAGATTCAAACTTTCTAATTTTAGAGACACTTTTTATGTTTCCAAAATCTTAAGGAGAAATTTTTCTAAAAGTCTCTATTTGAGTCCATACTAACCTTCCTGCCACATAAAATTTTAAAAAGAAATTCTTTGTTTCTTGGTTGGACTCATGACACACATTTTCATTATTCATGGATTACTTGCCTTTTATCTTGTTAGGGAATACATTTTTGAGTGTGGTCTTCAAACCAAGATATTGTACTTGCGAAGAAGGTTTTATAGGTATGCTTGCTCTGACTGAGTCTTACAAGAATAATTTTCCAGATTCTTGACTTCACATGTACCCTTTTTTAAAACAGATCTGCCTGAGAACATATCTGTGATGGAGAAATATCTCTTCTCACCTTTCACAACCACTCCTTTCTATTTGATAGAAAAGAAAGGTTTAACCCCGACTTAACCCTACATTTAGTATGTGGAATTACCTCTTGGGGCTAAAACTTCCAGATAAGCCAATTAAAACATAATTTAACATATTGTACAGCATACAGGTGTTGATTCCATGAAATATAGATCTTTGTAGTCAAATGGTTTACAAAATTTTGTTTTTAAAAGAAGTGATTGAAAGCCCCATTCTAGGCCAGGGACGGTGGCTCCCGCCTGTAATCCCAGCACTTTGGTAGGCCGAGGCAGGCAGATGACCCGAGGTCAGTCAGGAGTTTGAGACCACCCTGGCCAATGTGGCGAAACCCCGCCTCACCTAAAAATACAAAAATTAGCCGGGCATGGAGGTGAGCATCTGTAATCCCAGCTACTAGAGAGGCTGAGGCACGAGAACCGCTGGAACCTGGAAGGCGGAGAATACAGTCAGCCGAGATTGCACCAAGTCTGGGCAATAAGAGCAAGTCTTTGTCTCAAAAAAAAAAAAAAAAATTCAGGCATTCAGTAATATAATTACCTTACTAAATGACTGAGGTGTTTCTTTTTGTTTGTTTGTTTTGTTTTGTTTTCGAGACGGAGTCTTGCTCTGTAGCCCAGCTGGAGTGCAGTGGCGATCTCGGCTCACTGCAACCTCCGCCTCTCGGGTTCAAGTAATTCCCCTGCCTCAGCCTACCAAGTAGCTGGCACTACAGGTGCGTGCCACCACGTCCAGCCAATTTGTTGGTATTTTTAGTAGAGACAGGGTTTTACCATATTGGCCAGGCTGGTCTCGAACTCCTAACCTCATGATTTGTCCGCCTCAGCCTTCCAAAGTGCTGAGATTATAGGAATGAGCCACCGCGCCTGGCTGGTTTATATGGTCTTGATCATATTTAACAATTACTTCCTTTTATTATTTTACTTAATTTTTAGTAAATGACTAGTAAATATTATCTGAATAATTTTTCATATTTATTGACATTATCACGTCTTTATCTTCCTTTTTTTTGAAATAATGAATTAGGACAATAACTTCTCTCATGATGAATGCTCCTGAATTAGAGGTCTGTGTCTTACTTGGTCTTTGGAAATAATTCTTCTGATATACTGCCAAATGACAAACTCCATTTGTTGTACTTTATAGTTTTTGACCTACATCAATCATCAGTTTGTTTTCAGACTATCTTTATCATTTTTAGTATTAATAGTATGCTAGTAAGATAGAATTTATGACAGACCTTTTTTCATTTTGTCTGATCTAAAATATTTTAAATAGCACTCAGAATTATGAACTTGACAAGAAATTTAAGTGCAAAGCCACTCAAAAGTTCTCAGAAGAGACTTATTTTTGCGGATCGTTGAACAAATAGTTATTTTTAATTTTTAATTGCTGTTTTCTGTAATTCATTGGGATTTTCTTGAGGCACAGAAAGTGTTCTCTTTTGTTTACTTAGTGCCAATAGATCACGGAAGTTAATACCTTCCAAGAAGTTTGGCTGTCACTCCAAGATTGGAATGCAAGACGTGGGTCAAGCTTATGTGTGCTATTTGTCAATTGACATTTCCTAAGCCATTGAGAAGACGTTGCCTGAATCTGAGGGAGTTCACATAAATATCCATGCTGCCTAAAAAAAAAAAAAAAAAAAAAAAACCTCAGTAAAGACATCTTGGAAAATTCCAGAAAAATAATGAAGAAGAATGTAATTAAACTTGCCAAATACTGTTAGTTATTTGTAATTACATATATATATATATATATAGAACAAATAAAGTACATTTTATTTAAAATATATTCTGAATTTTTAAAATCTATTTGAATGGTGTAAGGCTAGATCAGTTTAAAGAACTACCATGAAAGTATTCCACTAAACAAATCATCCATACTAAAATAAAGCTTCTCTACAACCAAAATGAGTTAAGAATTTTCTTACATAGTTTTATGAAATTTGATCTTGGTTGAAATATAATACCATAGATTAAAATAGATACAGGTACTATTCATAATTGTATTAAATTATTTGTTTAATCATGGTAATAAATGATCTGAAAAATGGTATTCTGTAAATCATAGTCCTAAGCACATATATGTCATTTTGTATTTGATAAATTTAATTAATTGTAATTTATTTTACTTAAATATTCTCTCATTACAATTTTTAAAATCCAAAAACATAATGGAAAGCGCTGTGTTAACTGCTTGTCATTTGTAAACTAAAACGCTGTGTGGCACTTTCAGTGCATTCCAGTGTCAGAGAAGTCAGGTAAGTAAGTTAATTATTTTTGCCTGTTCACGTGTTTCAAATATTATGTTAAATATTCCACCAATACTTTGATTTACCTGGCTTACTACCGAGGCAGGTCACAGTATGAGGAATTCAATTCCTTCATGAAGTTGCTCAAAAAACTTTACTCAGCTCAGATATGATGAAATATACTTCTTTCATATGTATATACTGAAATAACTTTCGGAACGCATAATATGATGTATGTGAGGCAACAAGCTTTATTTTCTGGACCACTTTTTTACTTACTTCAACCAGCAAAGGCAGCATGTACTTTGATTAATCTGAAATACACAAATATTGGAACAAACAAGCTTCTTAAACCATTATAGGAACAGCAACGAAGCATGCCCCTAGCTCAGTGGTTTTGTTCTTCCTTCCAAATGAAGTGTTCTTCTAGATAAATGAGGACTCTTTCCCATACTTCATTCAGATTTTGGTTAAATATTACTTTCAGAGAGGAAACATCCCTCTGCAACTAACCTCATGTGCCTATTTTATTTTAAAATTTAAACAAAAATTAAATTAAAATTTAAAAATTTTGTCTTCTATCTCACTTTTGATATCAAATGTAACTAGTAGCTTTCATATTAGATAGAGCATATAAAATATTTCCACTATTACAGAGAATTCTACTGAATAATTCTCCCCTATTCTCTTAACCTACTTCATTTATATGGAAAATTCTTATCACTATCTGATATTACATTATATATCTTTTTATTTCTAATCATTTGTTTTCATTATAATGGGAAACCTTACTTTAGTTACCAGGCTTCCTACTATCTAAAACAGCGCTTAGTGCAGAGATATTGCCCGGTAAATATTTGTAGAATAAAAGGCCAGAAATTACTCATTTTCCTTGTATTTTCTAGCATCTCTTTGCTACCATTACCTGGTAAAACAGGCATGAACTATGCCCTTTGCCATTTTAGTCTAGAACATACAGAAGAGGACATTTTCCTGGCTTTTTAATATTTATTTATTTCTATTTCATTTATTTATTTTATTTTTAATTTTTGTGGCTACATAGTAGGTTTATATATTTATGGGGTACATGGGATGTTTTAATACAGGCATATAATATGAAATAAGCAAATCATGGAGAATGTGGTATCGATCCCCTCAAGCATTTATCCTTTGAGTTCCAAACACTCCAATTATACTCTTTATTTTTAAATGTGCAACTAAGCTATTAGTGACTATAGTCACGCTGCTGTCTTATCACATAGTAAGTCTTACTCATTCTTTCTCTTTTTTGGGGGGGCGTACCCATTTATTTTTGCTTGGTCTTTTAAGTCTAGAGCACAACAGTAGTGAAAAGAAAAATGTATAAAAAATACAAGAAACCAATGTAAATTTCAAAACAAATAAAATAACCTACCTTGTAGATTTAAGTTTTTGAACTTCCTGCTCTTTCTACAGATCATGGCTAAATTATACGTCCATGATGAATTTTTGAACTCCTATCAAAAGTGTAATTAAGGCCTGGCGCAGTGGCACACGCCTGCCTGTAATCCCAGCACTTTGAGAGGCCAAGCTGGGCAGATCACAAGGTCAGGAGATCGAGACCATCCTGGCTAACACGGTGAAGCCCCATCTCTACTAAAAATACAAAAAATTAGCCGGGCATGGTGGCGGGCTCCTGTGGTCCCAGCTGCTTGGGAGGCTGAGGCCGGAGAATGGCCTGAACCTGGGAGGCAGAGCTTGCAGTGAACCAAGATCGCTCCACGCACTCCAGCCTTGGTGACAGAGCAAGACTTCGTCAAAAAAAAAAAAAAGAATAATTAATAGAAATCATAGGAAGGAGGGCATCCCTTAAGCTAACTTGGTGTTATAATATTCTTAAAGAAAAAGCAATGCAAATGAATAAAACAAGACAACAACTAAGTAAATTTAGAAAATAAAGTTAGTTTTCAGGCATCAGCGTTTAAAAAAATATATGGTGTGCCTGAAAAGAATAATGAAAAACTGAGGCAAAATAGGATCTGCTTTACTCAAGAACTCCTTGCTATTTTTCTGAAGTCTAAAGGTGATTTGATTTAAAAAGGGAGGAAATAAAGAGCTCACACAAATTGCTATATATCTGTTGAGTAGTAATATTTCATAAATGCATTTCTTTATAAAATTCCGTTAAAGAAAATGCAAAATATTATCTTCCAAGATCAAACTTAATCTAACAATAGAAAATTACATATTAATTCCTTTAAATTAGTATACCCCAAGAAAGATAAAAGAACTTTTAGATTATAGTAAAATCACTGCTAATGACAGAAAAATAACTTCGTTTGAAAACTCACACTGAAGTCTTAGCACATCAGTTTGGTCTAACAAAAACAGTGCAGATTTTCAAACTAGACAAACCTAGATTTAGTAGCTTGATAAATATCTATAAGCAAGTAAGTGATTTAAGCAATTTAATCTCTCTGAGCATAAATTTAGAAAGAAATTAATTAAGCCAATATTTATTAAAATTTTTTATTGGATGGCCTTATGCTCATTTACAGAATTTACTTGTGAGAACGCACATAGACTTTGCTTTGATCAGGTTTATAGTCTTATTCAATAATTAATGTGATAAATATAATTAGAAGTCCACTGCTAGTCATTGAGGAAAAACAAGGTTCAGGCTTAACCTCCCCTTATAAACAACTAGAAATCTCTGCAAAATATATAAAATAATACTTTTAAAAATATTAAACAAAAAGCATACAACTCTAAGTACAAATAGAAGAGAAACATAGTGAATATTAAGTCAAGCACTATGTGTGTATATTTTTATTAATTAAGGCAATTTTAAGACTGTACACACAAGAAATGAAAAAGAAAACAGAGCTTGGCAGACCTTCTAACTTGAGGTGTCAGAGTTAGTAGTGTCAGGATGCTCAGGTAATTGAAAATTGCAGGCTAGAGTTCTAGAAAGGAGAAATTACTCAGAAAAAGACCTCTACATATGGAGTCCCTTTTATTTTCTGTGTACTAGGTCCCTCTTCTTTGAAGTATAACTCCACAAGACAATCACAATAATAGCAGTAAGACTGTCGTGATCATCTGGATAACATAGTGGATACTCCAGAAGGGACATATATTAATAGTAGTGGCCTTGAATTGAACACTACTTTGGACCCTTCTTAGGAAAACTAAATACTAAGTCTAAAATAGATCAAAACAATCAGAAAAAAAAAGGCTGATTTTTTTTTTAAAGTCCAATGGGAAATTACATAAAAACAACATACAGCATAAACATGATGTAACTCATTGATGTGATAATTCATTGATGTGATAATTCATTAACATAACTCATAGTGCATAATGTCAGATCACAAATTATTAGACATGCCAAGAGAAAAATATATGACCAAAGCTAGGAATATTATCACTCAATAGAATCAACAACAAAAAAAGAGAGAGATGATGTAACCAGCAGAAAAAGATGTTTTACAGGGCTATGCATACTAAAATTGTAGAAAACCAAATATCTACAGTTAAAGGTTGACATTTTAAAGCTCTCTCTAACATTCATATAGCTAAAAGACAAAAAAGAATACGTATAGATATATTAATAGCTGTAGAAGTCTTGAACAATAGAATAAACAAAGAAAACCTAATTGTCATTTAAGAAACATTTCACACCACAGCAGCAGAAGACATACTCTTTTCAGGTGCACGGAAAACATTCAACAAAACAAACCATATAGTGGAACATAAAACATATAGCTAAAGAAATAAAACATACAAAGGAACCAGATGGAAATTTGAGAGTTAAAAAAGAAAATGGCTGTAATAACAATATTTTTGTAGAAACTTAAAAGTTAATTAGGCACTACAAAAGAAACATATAGTAAACTTGAAAATAAAGTAATAATATATATCAAAAATAAAGAACGAGAGAAGAAAATGAGAAAGGAAAAAAGTTTCAGTGATTCAGTTACCTGAGGTAAATTATCAAATATTTTTGCACATGCAATTGGAATTGTTAAAGAAATGAGAGTCGTGATGATGAGGAGAATATATTTGAATAAATAAAGTGTAATTACATATTTCCATGATGTTTAACAAATGTAAGTAGTATATACACGGAAAATAATACCACAAGAACCATCATAATTAAAATGTTAAAAAACAGTGAGAATTCCCCATAAAACTCCATATTACCTATAGAAAAAAAGTACAATATGAATGACAGTTAACTTTTAATATCAAACAATGCAATCCAGAAGATAATAAAAATAAAGTCTTCGTGTGCTGAAAGAAGAAATTTGTTCAAGTAGACTTTTATATACAGCAAATATATCCATAAATAAGGTGAAATAAAAAAAGAAAGGTTAAAAAAATTGATGCTAGCAGACAAATTATATTAAAGTAAATGTAAAACAGGTTTTTTTAACTTTAAACATTTTTCCAAAATATTATCAATTGTTTAAATGCATTGTGTGTTTTATATCTTATGAAGAAGCAACATACAGTACTATTATAGCACAAGATTCAAGAAGTGAGAAATGAAATTATACCCTTTTAAGTGTCACGCACAGAAAATTAAATGGTATAACATAATAGAAGGGATACTGTGATTAAAATGCATATTGTAAATCCCAAAGAAAAAATGAAAATACAATAAAATACATAGTTAATAAGCAATCAAATACCAAAATATACTAAATTAATGCAAAAGAAAATAGAAAATGAAAAATGAGGATACAATTTTAAAAAACTGTATGGTAGATATGAATTTATATGTACAGTTAAAATGGGTGGAAATAGACTAAAGATTATAATTAAAATACAGAGATGGTCATACTAGATATAAAAAGAAAGACCAACCACTTGCTGTATGCATAAACTCAACTGAAATATAAAGACATACATAGGACCAAAATAAAATATGGGAAAAGTTATATTATGCAAAGTGTAAAAAAGCCACAGTGGCTACATTACTATAAGACAATACAGTCTTAGAAAATAAGAAAAAAAGAGGAGAATTTCACAATGAGAAAGATAACAAGTCAATAAGAAGACATAACAATTTTGTATGTCCCCCAACAATGATGTCAAAATATATAAAGTAAAAACTGATGTAACCTAGAACAGACAAATGCACAATTGTAACTACGTATTTTAATAACACTCTTCCCATATTTATACACCACACCTACAGAAAATCACTTAGGTTATAAAAGAACTAAACAACATAATGAACAAATTGAGCATAATTAACATTTATTAACAGTTTATACAATAACAGAATACATGCTCTTTTTCCAGTGAACATAGTATTTTCAACAAAATAGACCATATGAAGTATTATAGAGGAACTCTCAACAATTTTTAAAGATTATTATGCAGTATATGAACTATGATCACATTGACTTTGGGTTGATAATTAACAAAAATTTTTTTTAAAAAAACTGTTGTTTAGAAAGTGAGCAACACATCTCTAAATTACATATGCTTCAAAAGATAAAACAAAAATGCTTAACAACTATTCTGAACTTAACAAAAATTAAACACAACATATTCAAATTTGCTTAGAAAACTACAATGCTAAATAGAAGCAGAAACAGAAAACAACTTTGTTTTATTGCTATTCAACATTATAGTTGAAGGCATCCCCAGTTTAACAAGGTAATGAAAAAATAAAATGCATACAGAATGTAAAGAAAGATGTAAAACTCTCTTAGCTCATAGAAAAAATGACTCTATATGTAGATAGCATTAAAAAAAGCCAATAGAAATAAGAAGTGATTTAGTAAGATTAGGAAATAAAAGGTTACTACTCATATATCAACTGTTTTTAGTATATTTAGAAAAAACACAATTAGAAAGTTAAGTTAAATATAACATTACTTATAAGAGTATAAAATATGAAATAAATATGGTTACATGTAATAATATGTACAAGAACTTTATTTTAAAGTGCTACAAATATTACTAGGTGAAATAAAAGAAGAAATAATAGGAGAGATATATCATGTTCATGGATAGGAAGACTGAATACCATTAATGTTTCCCGAAACTGTTCTACAGATCCATTGTAATCTAGGTCAAAATTTTAAGAAGGTTTACCTACAGAAACGTATAAGCTGATTCTAAAATATATATGTAAGCACAAAGAGTGTGTAATAACTAATATAATTTTGAAAATGAAGAATAAAGTTGGGTGATTTCTTCTTCTTGATTTCAAGTCTTAAAATATGTTGCAGTAATTAAAGCAGTGTTAAATTATCATAAATATAGATATAGATAGGTAAATGCATACTGGTTTTAGAATACAGTCTGGAAACACACATATACACAGTCAATTGATTTGCAAAATGAGCACAGCTAAGTTAATAAGAAAGCAATTTTCAACAAATGGTGCTAAAATAGTAGAAACCAGACTATCTTAATTTTTAATCTATACTTGAGCATACAAATTAACTCAAAATGTGTCATAGACTAAAATTTTTGAATGCTAAACCCCAAAATTATCTGATATTGTAGAATATGTTGGAGTATCTCTTTGCAAACTTGGGGTAGTCAAACATTTAATTTAGTAACATAATGCTGAAACATTAAAAAAACTGATAAAATGGTCTTTGCAAAAATGTAAAGCTTCTATTTTTAAAAAAATAAGGTTAGAGAAATTAAAATGCAATCCACAGGCTAAACATATGTGTTCCTGTGTAAAGAATTCTTAAAACTCACAGATGTGAAAATAAGTAGTGCAATAAAAAATATGTAAAATATTTTAAATAAAAACATTACTAGGATCATGACCAATATACATGCAGTTATGCATCATTTAATAAGGGTGATGTATTCTAAGAAATGTGTTGTGTGGCCATGTCATCATTATGTAAACATCATAGACCATACTTATCCGAAACTAGATGGTATAGCCTATTATACACCTAGGCTATATGGTTCTATTGCTCCTGGGCTACAAACCTGTACAGCATATTACGATACTGAATACTGTAGGCAATGGTAATAGAATGGTAAGTATTTGTGTATCCAAACATATTTGAATATTGAAAATGCATAGTAACAATGTGGTATTATAATCTTATGGGATCATCATTGTATACAGTCAATCACTGACCAAAATGTTTGGTGACACATGATGGTATAAAAAGATGTAAAACCCCATTATTCATCAGGAAAATGGAAATTAAAATCACAAGACAATATGACTGCTTGCCCACGAGAAAGGGTGGACTAGAATGCCAAGCAACACTACTGGTGGGACTATTAAATGGTACAAACACTTTGGAAATAAAGTTTTAAAATTTCTTATTCAGTTAAACATAGTATCCCAAATTGAAATAACCCAAATACGCATTAAGGAATTGAATGGCAAAACAAATTGTGGTACATCCACTCAATGGCATACTACTCGCAAATTAAAAGGAAAGTAATACTGATACAGATGTAGACTTGGATCATTATCAAAGTCATATTTGGATCCAAAACATTGCATTATCTGCTGCAAAGATTTCCTTTCTCACCACCCATAGCACCATTTATTTCTTACCTTCTATCTCTGATGTATCTTTTGTTATCTCCATCTGTCACTGAAATTTTTCTTGAAGTAGTATCAGCACTTCAATATCAATATCGATATATAAACTGGATCAGTATCAAAGTCATTTTTTGGATCCAAACCACTGTATCATATGCTGCAAAGATTTCTTTTCTCACCACCTATAGCACCATTTATTTTTTTTTTATTTTTATTTATTTATTTTTTTTGAGACGGAGTTTCGCTCTGTCGCCCATGCTGGAGTGCAGTGGCGCGATCTCGACTCACTGCAAGCTCCGCCTCCCGGGTTCACGCCATTCTCCTGCCTCAGCCTCCCGTGTAGCTGGGACTACAGGCGCGCGCCACCATGCCCGGCTAATTTTTGTATTTTTAGTAGAGACGGGGTTTCACCGTGTTAGCCAGGATGGTCTCGATCTCCTGACCTCGTGATCCGCCCGTCTCGGCCTCCCAAAGTGCTGGGATTACAGGCGTGAGCCACCGCGCCCGGCCACCATTTATTTTTTGCCTTCTACTTCTGATGTAGCTCCTGTTATATCCATCTGTCACTGAAATTTTTCTTGAAGTAGTATCAGCTCACCAGGACTGTGACATTTCTGGGATGATTGCCTTTGTCTTTGCTGTTTCTGCCATTTCTTCAGATATATTCATTTCTCCTCTGCTCCGTTCTGTCTTTATCTGCCACGACTGCCATTTCAATTACCAGCACTAACTCTGCTACTTAGAACAATGAAAATCAACATTGTCTGTCTCTGTATGTACCTTCATTCTCAAATTCACTCAACGCTGGCTCCACAGCACCCATAAATTTTTCTTAAATGTTTTGAACAGCTGACTTTATTTCAGTTTATATAATTATGAGGTTATTAATTAAATTATATATACCTATAATTGGTAATTAAATGTACCATGAATCTAAATAGCTGTTGCTTCTTTAAAATGAAGCAGTGGATGATAATATATGCTCTGAATCAAATATTAGTTTTTTTACTTTTAATTTTGTTCCATCACTTATTGGTAGTGAGATGACTGGTAAGATAGTTTACCTCTTTAGCCTGTTTTAACATTTGTAAGTTGTTCTTAGCCTCACAAGGTTGTACAAAGATGTTTAAAGCATTTAGCAAAGTTCCTGGAAAACTGTTAATTTTAGATTAAAATATTTCAGTATTATCTTTAATTTCTTTTTCTCTTTCGCCCCTAAAATATAACCACCATTTTCTCTAATTTGAAAAAAGACTAACTCTGTTGCTTTTACCATTTCCTTCATTTAGGTCACCATCATGTTTCCTTTAGATTAACTTGCCTTTTGCTAAATTATTTCACAATGCTGCACCTACAATGTTCTTTCTGAGAAGCAAAATCACTAATGCCCCTCAATACAGAAATGCCAGTCAGGCTTTTTGTTAATAATCAATCTACAAGGAATGCATCCAGTTTGTGAAGTGCTTCAGGATGTAACCCATTTTTAACTTTTTCAGTCTCCCATTCTATCCTCACTCCCTACACTTTATCTGCAGCCATATTGAATGAACTCATTCCTTTTCTTATGTTATTTCCTCTGACTGGAAACCTTTAGTGTCTTCTCTTTACCTGGTTGATTCCTAGTAATCCTCACTGTCACTTCATTTGAGATGCACTAACATTGGATACAAGGTCGAAAGTTCCAGTTTTATATTCCTGAATTTTCCACCAAAGGGTTGTAGGGCTTGACATTAATATTATCATTTAGTCAAATGACACCTCCAATAGATTGCATGATTTATGAGAATAGAGACCACATCTAACTTCCAGTGGGTAGCATCTACCATAAGACTTGGTACACAGCATACAGCTAATAGTCAACAAATACAAGTGTGATATATTCTTGTTAACTAAGGATAATTCTAATAAAAAGAATCCCAGAAACCTTTGAAGTTATCACTCCATAAAATTACCTTTTTTGCCAAGTTATTATCATCATGAGATTTTTCCAGGCTCTGTCTTTGCCACTTGCTAGAGATGCACCTATTTCCTTTTAGGACCTCCCATGGCTATCTTTGTGTTTTGATTCTATAATCTTTTATCATACTCTGTAACTTATTTTATAGTTAAAATATTAAAGGCAGAAGACCTCTGGACTTAAGTGTGTGAACTTATTAGTCCCAGATCTATTTTTTTTTCTATTTAACAGGCAATTAAATTCAGTTTCATATTCAACAGATAGAGGTTGATTAATTGTTGACCCAAAATGAAATTATTCAGTTATTAAATATCAGTAATATTTGTTAAAAGAATATGCAGTCGACCCTTGAAGCTATCAAAAACCAGTCATGTAACCACTGACTCCCCAAAACTTAACAACTAGTTACCTACTGTTAACAAAAAGACTTACTGATAACCTCTCTTTTAACACATATTTTGTGTATGTATTACAAACTGTATTCTTACAGTTGAGTTAGCAAGATAAAAGGAATATCATTAAGAAAATCAGTAGGAAGAGAAAATATATATTTTTATTTATTAAGTGGAAGTGAATCATCATAAAGGTCTTCATCCTCATAATCTTCAGTTTAGTAGGCTGAGGAGGAGGAGAAAGAGAAGGGGTTGGTCTTGGAGCCTCAGGATGGCAGAGACAGAAGAAAATCTATGTATAAGTTGACATGCACAATTCAAACCTGTGTTGTTCAAGGGTTAACTGTAACGTAGGTTCTTCTTTATGAGGTGATATATTCTACTAAGCCAAAGTTATATTTTTTTGTTTGCTTGTTTATTTTGGCTTAAACAACAGACCTTTATTTTCTCACAGTTGAAGAGGTTGGGAAGTACAAGATCAAGGTGTCATATGATGCACTTTCTGGTGTGACTTGCAGATGGTCTCTTTTATGTGACTGCAGAGAGAAAGGAAAAGAAGATCTGCTGGTGTCTCTTCTTATAAGGAAAAATACTAAACCATTAGGTTTGGGCCCCACTCGATCACCTCATTTAAGCCTAATTCCCTCCTTGTAGAATGTATCTCCAAATACAGTCACATTGGGGGTTAAGGCTTTAATACATACATTTTGAAGGAACACAATGCAGTCCACAGCAGAATGGAAGCTGTAAGCAATGGAACAACCTCCCAGGGAAACAGTGGGGATCATTCCTGGGGAAATAAAAGGTCACTGGACTTGTCCAGTTCCTCAATATATTGTAGGCCTCCTCCTGAGCTTTTGGAGATGCGTGGAAGTGAAGGGCACAATAAAAGTCTTAAATTAGAAGAAAATGTGCATAATAGCATATGCACATAAATATATGCATATATTCTTCAGAAACATGTATTGTATAAATCATAATAACATAAAACATTTTGGAGTATTATTTTATAGGCATTCAGTTATATTAGATAACATTAATAAATCCACATTTTGTTGTAAATTATCTTTTTTATTTAAAATGATATGTTCTATTTGTATTTACATATTTAATTCACACAAACAAAACACAGAACATTACTTACCATAGTAGAAATAATATATTTTTTGTTAATTTTATTATCAAGTATGTTTGAACTCAATAGAAGCCTATTCTGCTTGCTTCTGTAGCCCTAGAATGCATAATATTTAATCATCTAATATAGCTTTTCAGTTAAGCTTTTAAGATTACAGATGTGTTTTCCTTTTATGCAATTACTAATCAACTTTTCCCTCTTCTTCGTTTTGTCTGATTCAAGTTCATTTTAAGTCGTGTGGGCCTTGATTTACTCATTTTTTTAAATTAAACAAAGTTAGCAGAGGAAAAACACAATGAACAAGTTTTATTTTCTTTAATATGTAAAATCTTTTCGTGAGTGGTTGGCAGTTCAAAGAATGCCGTTATACTCTGAAATTTTGAAGCAATTGCTCTTTAAGGCAAAAAAGTGATAATAGACACAATGTCACAATATTTTTAAGTTCATTTAACATATTATTAACTAATATATCTGTTGTCCTATAATCCTAGAACTTTATATACCCACCGTATTTCTCATCTACTTTGTTTTTTCTAAAAGTAAAAATTAATTCATCCATATTTGTCACTCTTTAAAAGTATGTCTCAATATTAAAGAAAATATTCTTCAGAGCAATGTGCTTTTATTTCTGAATTCTTGTGGGGATTTTATTGTACCCTAGAGATTTTTGAGATGCAGATATTTTAATTGCTTGACCACCTGTCTTTCCTAAACTTCGGTTATTCTTTTGCTCTTGGGAATTGTACGTAAATTTCCAGCATCTGTTCTTAATCTGTTTGGTAAATGCAAAGAGAAAGTATTCATTTAATTCCTCAAAGGCTATTCCCAACTCAATAATAACTACTGAAAACTTATGTGATTTCTTTTTAAAGTAATATACATTCTATATGGTTTCAAATTTATTCATATGCAAATTATGTCATTTACTCCATCAAAAATGATCAATCTTCAATGTCTATATAACAATAAGGACTGTGTTTCCAACTATTTGTATTATAAATTTAATGCTGAGGTTTTATATATGATCCAATTGTTTTTCTCCCCTATAATTTCATTTTTTTTTTTTGGTTGGGGATTTAAGGTAAACTATAACTTGATTTAAATTACATTGTTTAAACACTCAAAACTTGTTTGCCTCATGAATATTTGGGTTGGTTTGGTGAACATCTTCATCATATAAAATCTAAACATTTGCATTTCTCCCTATAATTTTCTTTTTTAATTTGTAAGAAATCATGAGGTATAGGTAAAATTATTTTTATTATACCTGTAAGGGAATTAAGGCTAACAATATAAAGACTTACCTCATAGTTGTGTACCTTTCTAGTAATGAGATAGGGATTCAAATCTAATACTGATTTACATCTTAGTTAATAAACCAGAGTAAGCAGTTGATGGATTACATTTCACTTTTTGTTTCCATCTTAATATAAATGTTTAGCTTTATATTCATAAAGAAATATCAAATTATAAAAAGATAATTTGGAAAATAATACTGAACAATTTCATGGAATATAATGCCCTATGTCTCCATATTCTCATAATATTCCTCAAGATAAACCCCTGTGTTTAGTGTATTGCTTCTAATAATAAATCCTTTTTTAATTATGTAAATGTTTCTGAGTTATTACCCTACCTGTTATAGTAAATTTGTGTATATATTACATAAATACAATAATATATTATATATAATATATAATTGTATATTAAATATATTGTATTTACATATTATATATGTAAACAATATTATGTATATATTATATATTGTCTATATACTATATATACAATGTATACATTACAGAGACAATAATATATTTATATATAATATACACACATTTACCATATCAACTTTTATAGTAAAATTATGTATTATAATTGTATATGTTTATATATAATTTGTAATATATAACATATAAGTTTATATATAAAATTTTTAATATATATTTATAATACATAATTTGTTACATGATTTAACTAAAAGACAAATAACAGTAATATAGCTGCAGCAACTAGTGGTTGTGGGTCAATAGATACAGCCAGTTTGTAACTCCAACTTACCTCTCTTATCAACCTGACTAGGGGCAAAGAGTAATAGTACATAGGGCTCTAAGTTTACCCTTTAAAATTTAATGTAGTATAAAACTTATTTTTTAAAATATAGTATGGTTTTCTATTACTAACATCTAAAACAAGCCCATGACAAATTATTAGAAAGAAAATGCAAAGAGCTTTTCAGTAAGGGGAACAGTTAAAAAAATTTAGAGATGTTTATATTTTTCTTTATTTGAATGATATTAAACAGGAATCAACTTAAAAAGGAATGAAAGGAGATATATTTTAAGACATTAGGAAAGTTTTCACAAAACCTTAAAACTGAAAAAATGAGCTATACACTTGGATATAATTATTGCAAAAATATTAATTATAAATTTAAATTAATTCCAATCAAAACTACAATACATCTTTGATATGGGTCGACTGTGTCCCCACCCAAATCTCATCTTGAATTCCCATGTGTTATGGGAGGGAGCCAGTGGGAGGTAACTGAATCATGAGAGCAGATCTTTCCCGTGCTGTTCTCGTGATAGTGAATAAGTCTCACTAGACCTGATAGTTTTAAAAAATGACAGTCTCCCTGCACAAGCTCTCTTCTCTTGTCTGCAATCATGTGAGATGTGCCTTTCACTTTCTGCCATGATTGTGAGGCCTCCCCAGACATGTGGAACTGTAAGTGCATTAGATCTCCTGCTTTTGTAAAATGCCCAGTCTTGGGTGTGTATTTATCAGCAGCTTAAAAACAGACTAATACAGTAAATTGGTACCAGTAGAGTGGGGTGCTGCTTAAAAGATACCTGACAATGTGGAAGTGACTTTGGAACTGGGAAACAGGCTGGGGTTGGAACAGTTTGTAGGGTTCAGAAGAAGACAGGAAAATGTGGGAAAATTTGAAACTTCCTAAAGAGTAGTTGAATGGCTTTGCACAAAATGCTGATAGAAATATGCACAATAAAGTCCTGGCTGAGGTAGTCTGAGATGGAAATGAGGAAATTGTTGGGAACTGTAGCAAAGGTAACTCTTGCTATGTTTTAGCAAAGAGACTGGTGGCATTTTGCCTCTGCCCTAGAGATTTGTGGAACTTTGAACTTGAGGGAGATGATTCAGGGTATCTGGTGGAAGAAATTTCTAAGAAGCAAAGTATTTAAGAGGTGACTTGGGTGCTGTTAAAGGCATTCAGTTTTATAAGGGAAGCAGAGCATAAATGTTCAGAAAATTTGCAGCCTGACAACGAGATAGAAAAGAAAATCACATTTTCTAAGGAGAAATTCAAGCGGGCTGCAGAAATTTGCAAAAGTAACGAGGAGCCAAATGTTAATCCCCAAGACAATGGAAAAAAATGTCTCCAGCGGATGTCAGAGACCTTTGCGGCAGCCCCTCCCATCACAGGCCTGGAGACCTAGGAAGAAAAAATGGTTTCATGGGTGAGGCCCAGAGTCCCCATGCTGTGTGCAGCCTAGGGACTTGGTGTCCTGTGTCCTAGCCTCTCTAACCATGGCTGAAAAAGGCCAATGCAGAGCTCAGGCCATGGATTCAGAGGGTGCAAGCCCAAAGCCTTGGCATCTTCCATGTGGTGTTGAGCCTGTGAATGCACAGAAGTCAAGAATTGGGGTTTAGGAACCTTCACCTAGATTTCAGAGGATGTATGGAAATGCCTGGATGTCCAGGCAGTTTGCTGCAGGTTCATGGAGAACCTCTGCTAGGTCGGTGTGGAAAGGAAATGTGGGACCGGAGCTCCCACACAGAGTTGCTACTTGGGCACCACCTAGTAGAGCTTTTAGAAGAGGACGACCATCCTCCAGACCCCAGAATGGTAGATCTACTGACAACTTGCACTGTGCACCTGGAAAAGCCAGTCACTCAGTGCCAGCCTGTACTGGAGGGTGGCTGTACTCCAAAAAGCCACAGGTGTCTATAGGTTTTGAAACATGCACTATGGTTTAAATCATTATACTATCATATGAAATTGTCTCATGACCCTAAAAATATGCCATCTTTGACCTGTTCAACACAATCCACTTCTCATGAATTACAAGAATAGTTTATATTTTTTACTGACTCTATAGTTTTGCTTTATTTAGAATGTCATATAATTGTAATAATACAGTATGGACCCTTTTCAGAATGTCTCCTTTCACTTATAAATATGCACTTAAGTTTCATTCATATGCTCTTGTGGATTGATTGCACATTTTTTATTGTTGAATAATATTCCTTGTATGGTTTTACACAAATATGCTTATCAGTTCATCTGTTGAGGAGCACCATGGTTATGTCCATTTATTGGTAATTACAAATAAAGGTGCTGTATACATTCTTGTGCAGGTTTTTGTGTGGATAAAGATTTTCAAAAGAACTGGGTAAATATCTAGAAATGTGAATGCTGGGACTTTGTAGCTTGGTAAGAATCTGCCAAATGTCCCACTAGAAATGAATGACATTTCCTGTTTTTCTAAGTTCTCAAAAACATTTGGAATTATCGGTTATTAGATTTTAGTCATTCTAACAGGTATATAGTATTATCTCACTGATTTAACTTGCAATTTCCTAATGACAAATGATATTGATAATCTTTCTGTATACTTCTTTGCTGTTTTCTGTGTAGTCTTTGGTAAGATTCCTTTTGTAATTTTTTATTTTATTTTACTTAGCTTTTATTTTTAGTTCAGGGCATATGTTCAGGTTTGTTATAGGTACACTGTAAACAAATGGATTCAAATGTTTTCTGTGCTTAGGGAGTTGATGTAGACATAGTACATTATAATGTAAGAAAAATTATGAAAGTGAACTAATAAATAGGTCTCTAAGAATGAAGATAAGAAAAGTCATGTAGCAGGTTTTTATCTATGGTTTCAAAAAGATGTATTTATATTGCTGTATTGCTGTATTCTGAACTGTATTAACTTTCCCTATTTTGATTCTATTTTTGAACCAACATTTAAAGTTAAACCTGAGTTCTTGTTTAGAAAATTGTACTAATATTACATTTATATTACTAATATCTACAAATATTACATACTTCAATGATAAATATAATTTCATCTTTTCTTTTTTTAACTTCTATTTTAAATTCAGGGGTTCATGTGCAGTTTTGTTACATAGGTAAACTTGTGTCATGGGGGCTTATTGTATAGATTATTTAATCACCCAGCTATTAGGCCTAGTTCTCATTATTTATTATTCCTGATCCTTTCCCTCCTCACACCCTCCACCTTCTGGTTGGCCCCAGTGTCAGTTGTTCCCCTCTATGTGTTCGTGTATTCTCTTCATTTAGTTTTCACTTCTAAGTGGGACCATGTGGTATATGATTTTCTGTTCCTGCATTAGTTTGCTTAGGATAATGGCTTCCAGCTGCATCCATGTTGCTGCAAAGGATTTGCTTTTATTCTGTCTTATGGCTGTGTAGTATTCCATGGTGTATATGTGCCACATTTTATTTATCCAATCCATCACTGATAAGCACCTAAGTTGATTCTATATATAGGCTATTGTGAATAGTGCTGCGATGCCCATGTACATGCATATGTCATTGTTCTTCCAAAGTAGCTCAAGAACCATTTATTGAATATGGAGTCCTTTCTCCATTGCTTATTTTTGTCAGCTTTGTCAAAGATCAGATAGTTGTAGGTGTGCAATCTTCTTTCTAGGCTCTCTGTTCTGTTTCGTTGTTTTATGTTTCTGTTTTTATACCAGTACTATGCTATTTTGGTTACTGTAGCCCTGTACTATAGTTTGAAGGCAGTTTTGTTTTTTGTTTTTTTCTTAGAATTGCCTTGGCCATTCTGGCTCTTTTTTGATTCCATATGAAATTTAATATATTTTTTTCTAGTTCTGTGAAGAATGTTATTGTTAGTTTGATAGGAATAGCATTGAATCAATACATTGCTTTGGGCAGTATTGCCATTTAAATAATATTGATCCTTTTTTTTCCATGAGCATGGAATATGATTCCATTTTTTGTGTCATATCTGAATTCTTTGAGCAGTGATTTGTTGTTCTCTTTGTGGAGAATTTTCACCTCCTTTGCTGTATTCTTAGGTATTTTATTCTTTTTTTAGCAATTGTGAATGAGATTGCATTCCTGGTTTGGCTCTTGGCTTGACTGTTGTTGGTCTGTAGGAATTCTAATGATTTTTGCACATTGATTTTGTATCCTGAGACTTTGTTGAAGTTGTTCATCAGCTCAAGGAGCTTTTGGGCCAAGACTATAGGCTTTTCTAGATACAGTATCATGTCTTCTGCAAACAGTAGCAGTTTTACTTATTCTCTTCCCATGTGGATGCCCTTTATATCTTTCTCTTGCCTGATTGCCCTGGGCAGAACTTCCAATACTACATTGAATAGGAGTGGTGAGAGGGAATTCTTGTCTTGAGCCAGTTTTCAAGGGGAATGCTTTCAGCTTTTATCCATTCAGTATGATGTTGGCTATGGGTTTGTCATAGATGGCTCTTATTATTTGAGGTATGTTCCTTCAATAGCTAGTTTGTGGATAGTTTTTAACAGGAAGTGGTGTTGAATTTTATCAAAAGCATTTTCTGCATCAATTGAAATAATTGTTTGGTTTTTGTCTTCAGTTCTGTTTATGTGATGAATCACAATTACTGATTTACGTATGTTGAACCAAGCATGCATCTCAGGGATAGTCTACTGGATCATGGTGGATAGGCTTTTGAATATGTTGCTGGATTTGGTTTGCCAGTATTTTGTTGAGGAGTTTTGAATCTATGTTCATCAAGGATATTGGCCTGAACTTTTCTTTTTTGTTGTGTCTTTGCCAGGTATTGGTATCAGTATGATGTTGGCCTCATAGGATGAGTTAAGCAGGAGTCCCTGTTTGTCTTTTTTTTTTTTTTTTTGGAATAGTTTCAGTAGGAATGGTGCCAGCTTTTTTTTTTTTAACATCTGATAGGATTCATTTGTTAATTTTGTTAATTTTACTGCTCCTGAACTTTGGTGGGTTGGTAGGCTATTTATTACTGATTCAAGTTCAGAGCTCATAATTGGTCTGTTCAGAGATTCACTTTCTTCCTGGCTCAGTCTTGGGAGGATGTATGTGTCTAGGAATTTATCCATTTCTTCTGGATTTTCTAGTTTATATGTATAGAGGTGTTCATAATATTCTCTTATGGTTATTTATATTTTTGTGGGTCAGTGATAATCTTTTAAATTAGATTTTTTTCCTGTCATGCTGCTGTGTTTTAAGAATTTTTTGTGCATTTTGGACACAAGTTATTTACTAGATACTTGCTTTTCAAATAACTTTTTAAACACCATGACTTTTTTTATTTTTTAAAAAATAATTTCAATTTATATTTTAGATTTATGTACAGGTTTGTTACATAGGTATATTATGTGACACTATGGTTTGGCATGTGAATGATTCCATCACCCAGGTATTGAGCATAGTACTCAATAGGTAGTTTTTTAACCCATTTCCCACTCCTCCTCTCCCACCTGTAGTAGTCTCCAGTGTCTATTTTTTCCATCTTTCAGTACATATGTACCCAATTTTTAGCCCCCATTTATAAGTGCTAATATGCAATACATGCTTTTTAATTTCTATATTAATTTGCTTAGAATAATGGAAAACAGCTGCAAACATGTTGCTGCAAAGGACATGATTTCATTCATTTTTATGAATGGATAGCATTTCATGGTGTACATGCACCACATTTTCTTTATTCACTCTTCCACTGATGAGCATCTAGCTTGATTCCATATTTTGCTATAGTGAATAGTGCTGCAGTGAACATGTAAGTGCATCTGTCTTTTTGGTAGACCTATTCATTTTCCTTTGTGTATATACCCAGTGATGGGATTCTTGAGTCCAATGGTGGGTTCCAGGTTCTTTGAAAAATCTCCAAACTGCTTTCAAAGTGGCTGACCTAATCTACATTCCCACCTATAGGTTTACGCAAGTGTTCCCTCTTCTCCACAGCCTCACTAATATGTGTTTTTTTTTAATTTTTAAAATAATAGTCATTCTGACTGGTGTGAGATGATATTTCATTGTGGTATTCATTTGCTTTTCTCTGAGATTTGTGATATAGAGCATTTTTTCATGTTTTTTGGCCACCTGTATATCTTCTTTTGAGAAATATCTGCTGAATTGTTTTGACCACTTTTTAAAAACGTTATTTTTCTGCTTGTCGAATTGTGTAACTTCTTATACATTCTGGATATTAGACTTTTGTTGGATGCATAGTTTGTAAATATTTTCTCCCTCTCTGCAGGTTGCCTGTTTACTCTGTTGATAGTTTCTGTTGTTGTGCAGAAGCTCTTTAATTTAATTAGGTCCCGTTTGCAACTTTTTTTTGTTGTTGTTGCAATTAATTTTGAGGTCTTAACGATAAATTCTTTACCAAGGCCTATGTCTATCATGGTATTTGTTACATTTTCTTCTAAAATTCTTATAGTTTAAGGTCTTACATCTAAATCTTTAATCTCTCTTGAGTTAATTTGATTACAGAGGGAAAGACAATCATCCAGTTTCATTCTTCTGCATATGATTAGAAAGCTATCCCAGCACCATTTACTGAATAGGGAATCATTTTCCCATTCCTTACTTTTGTGGACTTTGTCAAAGATCAGATGGCTGTATGTATGTGGTTTTATTTCTGAGTTCTCTATTGTGTTCTATGTGTCTGTTTTTGTACCATACCATGCTGTTTGGGTTTCTGTAGCCTTATAATATAGTTTGAAACAGAATAATATGAGGCCTCTGGCTTTGTTCTTTTTGCTTAAGAGAGTTTTCCTTGTTGGGCTCTGTTTTAATTCTATATGAATTTTGGGATAATTTTTTCCTTATTCTGTGAAAAGTGACATTGGTAGTTTGATAGGAAATATCATTGAAACTGTATATTGTTTTGGGCAATAGGGTCATTTTAACAGTATTGATTTTTTCAATCCATGCATATAGTATGATTTGCTATTTGTTTATCTATGATTTATTTCAGCAACATATTGTAATTCTCCTTGTACAGATCTTTCACTTCTTGGTTAGATGTATTCTGAGGTATTTTATTTTATTTTTTGGTGGCTATTGTAAATGGGTTGCATTCTGGATTTGACTCCCAGCTTAAACATTATTGGTGTATAGAAATGCTACTAATTTCTTACATTGACTTTTTATACTAAAACTTTACCGAAGTCATTTATCAGTTCTAAGAGGCTTTGGCAGAGTCTTTAGGGTTTTCTAGGTAAAGAATCCTATCTTTAGTGAACAGAGATAAATTGTATTCTCATTTTCGTATTTGGGTGCCTTCATTTCTTTCTCTTGCATGATTTGTCTAGCTAGGACTTCCAGTACAATGTTGAATTGAAGGGTGAGGGTGGGCATTCTTGTCTTGTTCCTCTTCTTAAGGTGAGTACCTCCAGCTTTTCTCTGTTCAGTCTGAGGTTGGCTGTGGGTTTGTCATAGATAGCTCTTATTATTTTACTACATGTTCCTTTCATGTCTAGCTTGTTGAGGATTTTTATCATGAAGGGATGTTTAATCTTATAAATTTTTTTCTATGTCTATTGAGATGATCATATGGTTCTTGTTTTTAATTTTGTTAATGTTGTGAATCACATTTATTGATTCATTCAACCATCCTCTCATCTAGGAATGAAGACTACTTAATTGTGGCAAATTAACTTTTTATGTGCTGTTGAATTCAGTGTGCTAGTATTTTGTTGAAGATTTTTGTGTCTATATTTGTCAGGAATATTGGCCTGTAGGTTTTCTTTTTTTGTGATGTCTTTCCCATGTATTAGTATCAGGGTGATACTGGCTTCATAAAATAAAGTAGAAAGGAGTCTTTTCTTTATTATTTTTTGAAATAGTTTCAGTAGAATTGGTACAAGCTATTTGTATATCTGGATGAATTTGTCTGTGAATCCATCCGGTCCAGAATTTTGGGGGGTTTGTAGGTTTTTATTACTGATCAATTTCAGAATTTGATATTAATCGGTTCAGGGTTTCAATTTCTTCCTGATACAGTCTTGAGAGGTTTAGTGTTTCCTGGAACGTAACCATTGCCTCTAGATGTTCTAGCTTGGTTGCATAGAGGTGTTCATAACAGTCTGTGAGTATATATTCTGTGTTTCTGTGGAATCAGTTATAATGTTACTTTTTTTTCCGATGATACTTATTGAGATTGTCTCTTTTTTTTCCTGTGTTAATACAGATAGTAGTCTATTAGTTTTGTTTATCCTTTCAAACAAAAAGTTTTGGTTTCATTGAGTCTTTGTATGGATTTTTAGATCTCAGTTTTATTCAGTTCCACTCTGATTTTATTTATTTCCCTTCTTCTTGTAACTTTGAATTTAGTTTATTCTTGCTTTTCTAGTTCCTCTAGGTGTAATATGAAATCATAAATTTTAGATTTTTCTAACTTTTTGAAGTAGGTGTTTGGTGCTAGAAATTTGTTTAACACTATTTTTGCTGCATCCCAGGGATTTTGGTATGTCGTGTCTCTGTTTTCATTTTTTTCAAAGAATTTTTTTAAATTTCTGTCTTGATTTCTTTGTTTACTAAAAGTCATTCAGGAGCAAGAATTTCCATGTAATTGTGTGGTTTTAAGAGATTCTTTGTGTTGATTTCTATTTTTATTCTACTGTGATCCAAGAGTGTGGCTGGTATGATTTCAAGTTTTTTGAATTTATTGTGACTTGGTTTATGGCTGAACATGTGGTTGAGCTTAGAGTATATCCTGTGTGCATACAAGAAGAATATATATTCTGTGGTTGATGGTAAAGTATTCTGTAAATGTTTATTAGTTCCCATTGGTTAAGTGTAGAATTTCAGTCCAAAATTTCTATGTTAGTTTTTTGCCTTCATTATCTGTCTAATGCTGTCAGTAGGGTGTTGAAGTCCTCCACTATTATTTTGTGGCTGTCTAAAGTTTTTGTTTTTGTTTTTACATCCATAAAAACCTGTTTTATGAATCTGTGTGCTCCAATGTTGGGTGCATATATATTTAGGATAGTTGTCCTCTTGTTAAATTGAACCCTTTATCATTATATAATGCCATTCTTTGTCTTTTTTTCTACTATCATTGGTTTAAAATCTAGTTTAAAAATAGTGACTACTTTTTTTTTTTTGTATGTGTCTTCCATTTGCATGATAGATCTTTCTCTATTATTTTACTTTGAGCCTATGGGTGTTGTTGCATGTGAGATGAATCTTTTGATGAGAGAAGAGGAATGGGTCCTTTTTTTAAACAACTTAGCTTGCTACACTGTGCCTTCTAAGTGAGGTTTAGACCATTTATGTTCAAGGATAGTATTGACATGTGTGGTTATTGTGAAGTTTTTAGCTCTTTTCTTTGTATTTTATATTGTGTGCTTGGTTCACAGGGTCTGTGAACTATGTACTTAACTGAGGTGTGTGTGTGTGTGTGTGTGTGTGATCAAGTATTGTTCTTTAACATGTTTAGAACTCTCTCGTAAGGCTAATCTCATGGTAATGAATTCCCTTAGTGCTTGCTTCTCTGGAAAATATTTTCTTTCTTCTTCACTTTTGAAGCTTAGTTTGGCAGGATATGAAATTCTTGGTTGGAATTCCTTTCCTTTAATAATGGTGAAAATAAGTCCCCAGTCTCTCTTGGATTGTAAGATTTCTGCTGAGAAATCTGCTGTTAACTTGATGAGGTTCCCTTTGTATGTGATCTGACTTTTTTCTCCAACTGCTTTAAGATTTTTTTTTCTTTAGTATTGACCTTGGACAGTCTGGTGACTACATGCCTTAGTAAAATTCATTTTGCATAGTATCTTGCTGGTGTTCTCTGGATTTCCTGTTTCTGAATGTCTATCTGACAAGGAATATTAGAAAATTTATCTTAAATTATTCCCTCAAATATGTTTTTCAGGTTCTTTTCTTTTCTCCTTCTCTCTCATGAAAGCCAACAACTCATAATGTTTGGTTGTTTTATGTAATTCCATGTTTCTTGAAGACTTCTTTCATTTTTAGAAAGTTATTATTTTTTATTTAATAAAGATCAGTATTTTTATTTTGTTAACTATCATTGTTTTTTGTTAACTATCTTTTAAAAAGCAGATCAATTTCAATTTTAAGAAAGTATAAACTTTCTTTTTTCATAGATTGTACATTTGAAGTTTTTATCTACAAACTCATCATCAAGCACAAGGTCATGTAGACTTTCTACTGCATTTCCAGAACTTATATTATTTTGTGTTTTACATTTAGGTCTACATTCTATTTTGTGCTGTTTTTTGTGAAATATATAAAGTTTGTTTCTCGGTTCATTTTTGCATATGGATATCCAATTATTGTACAACTGTTTATTGAAAACACTATTTTTCCCCTTTGAACTGCCTTTGCTCCTTTTTCAAATATTAGTTGACTATATCTGTATGGGTCTATTCCTGGGCTTTCGATTCTGTTACATTGGTCAATATGATCATTCTTTCACCAAAACCAAGCTGTCTTTATTACGGTAGCTTTGTAATAGTTTTGAAGTCATGCATTGTGAGTCTTCCAAAATTGTAATTCCAGGCTGGAGTGCAGTGGCATGATCATACCTCACTGTAACTTTAAACTCCTGAGTGCAAGCAATTCTCCCACTTCAGCCTCATGAGTAGCTGGGACCACATGAGTGCACCACCAAACCTTGCCAATTAAAAAAAAAAACATATATAGAGAGGTGGGGACTCACTATGGTGCTTAAGCAGGTATCAAACTAGTGGCCTGAAGTGATTCACCTGCCTCAGCCTCCCCAAGTGCTTTTACTATTCTTGTTGATGCCTTTTCATGTAAACTTTATTATTGGTTTGCCAATATGCAAAAAAACAACTCATTGGAATTCTGATTAGAATTGCATTGGATTTATAGATCAAGTTGAAAAAATGGACATCTTAGCAATGTTGAGTGTTTCTGTCAATAAACATGAACTATGTCTTTATATCTTAACTGATTTTTTATCAGAGGTTTATAGGTTTCCTCATATAGCCCTTGGATTTATCTAGCTAGATCTATAAATAAACATTTATTTTTATTTGATGCTTTTTTCTAATATATGCCTTCAGTGGTGTGACTATCATTCTGAGCACTGATGTCCATAATTCCTCAAACTTTATAAAACCATATTCTCATTTTCATTTAATTTAAAATATTTTTAATTTGTTATTGAGACATTAATTAACACAAGAACTATTTAGAAGTTTGTGATTTAATCTGTAAAAATTTGAAGTTTTCTAGCTCTTCTTCTTTCATCATTTTGTAGTCTAACTCCATGTAAGTCTAAGAATATACTTTGTCTAATTTTTTAATTTGTTAAGAAGTTCTGGTGTCCTTGATTTTTGAAAATTATCAGTTATTATTACTGTATATATTTACTATTTTTATCTCTTTATGCATATATTCTAGGTTTTACAGGTGTCTCAGAATCCTTGGATATTGTTATATTTTTTTCTTTTTTTTCTTGCATTTCAGTTTTGTGAGTCTATTGATATAATGTCAAGATTTTTGATTTTTTAAAACTATATCCACTCTACTCATGAATATGTCAAATAAATTTTTCATTTCTGTTAGAGTGTATTTTTTATTTCTAGCATTTCCTTTGGATTTTTATAAGTTTATCTTTTTGCTTACATTGCCTATTTTTTTATGTATGCTATTTAATTTTTATATTAGGACCCTTAGCAAAATAATTATAGTTATTTTAAGTTACCATTCTGATAATCCCAAAATATTTGCCATATCTGAGATTAATCCTAATGATTTCTTGTCTCTTCAGATTTTATATTTTGCCTTTTAGTATGCCTTGTAATTTTTTGTTCATAGCCACACATAATATATTGAGTAAAATAATCTGAGTTCAAGAAAGTGTGGTGGTTCTTCCCAAGACTGTATCACTGGACTAATGCACTTTCAATCTCATTAACACTTAGCCCCTACCAATTTGTCAATCACAGTTTAAGAGCTTCTATTATTACTGCCCCAGCAATGGAATTGTACTCCTAGGATTCTGCTTCTGGTAAGGTGTGAATCTTCATATTTTTTTGACTTTCCGATTTTCAAAATGGCAGCATGTCCTCAATACTTCTGTGATCTAAGAAAAGTTGTGGGTTTTCAGTTTGTCCAGATATTTCTTATTTTGAAGATAGGGGTGATGACTTCTGTGATGGTTAATACTAAGTGCCAACTTGATTGGATTGAAGGATGCACTATTGATCCTGGGTATGTCTTTGAGGGTGTTGCCAAAGGAGATTAACATTTGAGTCAGTGGACTGGGGAAGGCAGACCCACCCTTAATAGGGTGGGCACCATCTAATAAGCTGCCAGCAAATATAAAGCAGGCAGAAAAACATGAAGCGATGAGATGGGCCTAACCTCCCAACCTACATCTTTCTCTCATGCTAGATGCTTCCTTCCCTCAAACATCGGACTGCAAGTTCTTCAGTTTTGGGACTCGGAGTGGCTCTCCTTGCACCTCAGCTTGCAGACAGCCTATTGTAGAACCTTGTGATTGTGTAAGCTAATACTTAATAAATTCCCATGTATATGTGTGTGTATATATATATGTACATCCCATGTATGTTATATATATAAATATATATATAAATATATATATATTTATATATATAACAGGATGTATATATCATGTTAGTTCTGTTTCTCTAAGAGAACTCTGACTAATTCAACTTCCAAGCCCTTTATATCTTAGACCAGAAATGTAAGTCCTCTTTTTTTGCTTTGTTTTGTTTTAACGTGTGGTTTTAAATTACTCTCTGGGGTCCCTTGCTTTAATCCTGAAGAATTTTCTCTAGTGTTTCTTGTAAGGAGTCTGATAACAATTAGTTCTCTCAGTTTTTGTTCAGTTGAAAATGTTTTTATTTTGCCTTCCTTTTTGAAAGATTGTTTTTCCAGATATGTGTTTCTTGGGTGACAGGTTTTTATTCATTCAGCCCTTTGAATATGTTCTCCTACTGACTTCTGTCTTCCTATTTTTTTAAATAAGAAGTTAACTGTTTATCTTCATGGAGTTTTTTTTGTACATGATTGGCTGTTTCTCTTTTGTTGCTTTTGAGAGTTTCTCTATTCTTTGACTTTTAGCATTTTTACTGTATGCTATGTCTGTGAGAATTTTTGTGTTTATCCTACTTGGATTCTGTCCAGTTACTTGAATGTGTGTAAGTGTTTCAATGAATTTCAGAAATTGAAAAACATTATTTATTTGAATTCTTTTTTGCATCCTTTCTCTTCTTCCACTACTGTCTTTATGCATATTTTGGTATACCTAATGGTATTTGTATTAATCAATGTTTTCCAGAGAGAAAGAGAACCAATTGTGTGCGTGTGTGTGTGTGTGTAAATTGGCCTCGCACAGCAGGTAAGTCTCAAATCTGAAGGGCAGGATGGTAACCCAGGAGAGTTGATATTATAGTCTCAAGCCTGAAAGCAGCTTGGAGGCAGAATTCCTTTTCCTTAGGGGACTTTAGTCTTTTGCTCATAGAGCTTTCAAATGATTGATAAAGTTCACCAACATTATGGAGGGTAATCTGCTTTACTCGGAGTTTACTGATTTAAGTGTTAACAAATCTAAAACACATTCATGGCAAAGTCTACAACGGTGTTTGATCAGTGTCTGGGTACCACACCCTATCCAAATTGACATGAATTTACCCCTTCACAAAATCCCACATTTCTCTAAGATTATTTTCTTTATTTTTCTCTCTCTCTCTCTCTCTCTCTCTCTTTCTTTCTCTCTCTCTTTTTCTCTCTCTCTAACCCACTTTTTGGACTGTATAATCACTATCAATCTATCTTCAAGTTTACTAATTTTATGTTCTGCCGTTCAAATCTGCTTTTCGTCTTGCTAGTGAAATTTCTTTTAAGTTATTATAGTTTCCTGTTCTTTTTCTTTCTTTTTTTCTATAGAGACAAGATCTTGCTATGTTTCCTAGGCTGGTCTCAAACTCCTGGCCTCAAGCAATCCTCCTGCCTCAGCCTTCTAATATGTTGGGATTAGCAATGTATGTCATCATGCGTGGCCAGTTATTGTAGTTTTCAATTCAAAAACTTATGTACAGTTTATTTTATAATTTCTCTTTATTGGTATTCTCTAATTTATGTAACACTGTCATTATAACTGTCTTTACTTCTTTGATCATGTTTTGTTGTTGTTGTTTTTCCTTAAGTGTATTTAAAATAGCTACTTTGAAATTTGAATTTGACATCTGGTCTCTTTCACTAGCTCTTTATTTTGCCTATTTGCATAACATATGTATATGTGTATGAATCACACTTCTATAATTTATTTTTGCATTTTAATACTTTTTACTGAAAACTGGAAATATTAGATATATTGTAGCCACTCAAATAACAACTATTCATCCCTCTAGTGCCTCTTACTGTTGTTTGCTTACTTATTTAATGACTGGCTGTACTATTTTAGTGAAGCATATTACCTCCACAGGGTGAAGTCTTGGCATTGCTTCTTAGACTGTGCAGCCTTGGTAAACACAAAGTCACACTTGGATGAAAGTGGTTTAATAAGGCTAATTTTGATTTTCTCTTTCCCTGAACATGTCTAACTGTTAGGGTCCACTAATTTTTAGCTAACTCCTCTATTGTTTTCAAGATGGTCCTATGGTATAAATTGACCCACAGTTTAATTCAATTAAATCCAGAGTCCTTTGTGAGGATAGCTTTTGAGGTAAATGTTTGAGATTTTTTGTCTCACTTCAGATGGAGCCATCTCAGCTTTGTATTTTCTTATTTCTCTCTGGCAAACAAGCTGGCTAATTGTTCAGGCCTTATTTCCCATGAAGCATCAGTCTTTACTAATTTGCTTACTAACGAGAGCTCCATTGTTTTTTAATGTCACCCTTCAACTTGAACTTCTCAATACTCTGTTTCAAATAGAGGCATTTCCTTTGGGTAAAGCTTCAGAGTTCTCTGATTTGTGGTCTGCCTCTTCCCATGGCAAATAATCTGATGTCCAGCTCTGGAGCTGATGGGCGAGACAGTAGGATGCTTCTCTCTAGGTGACACCCTTTAGGAGCAGAGTGGTAGGTCAAACTGTTCTTCCTTCATGCTTCCCCTCCATAATATTTCTGCCTTACAAATAAATTGGGGTAAATATTATGATGCCCAATATTCTCACTATACTGTACTTGAGGTTGATCCGTGCCTTTTGAGTTGGGCTGGAAAGAAGAAAGAAGCCCCCAATCTTTTGGTTATACTCCTCTAGAATTTAACTTTTGCAATGCGAAGCTATGGAGAATAGAAAACTCTGGTGGTCTTTCCCTCCCGAGAAGGTACGATATCTCTAGAATTAGAGCTTGAAGAAGGGAGCTCTGTGTTTTTTACTGTGCATGCCTGGAATTTCCATCTTGCCGAAGTGGAAGGGAAGATAAAGGGATATGCTCACATTTTAAATTCCATAGATTCACTGTTTTTACCAAGTTCAAGTATGTTTTCTTGAATATCTCATTTGTTTCATTTCCTTTGAATAATTTCAGAAGAGTTTTTTTCAATGATTTTTACCAGTAATGCTTGTTTCACTGAAAAACTTGTCCATGGACCTTCTGATTGTGCCATTTCAGAAGTAAATGTCTATATTCATATTATACTTTAAATGTACTTATTTTTCTGCCAGTTAGTATTCTCATTTAAGTCACCATACTCCATAGGACATTTAAAAATTATTCTTACTGCATCTTCATGCACCACCTTTTCTCCTTCAATCTAATTTGTAGATAATATTTAAAATGTGCTAATGTGGAGCAACAGGAATTCTAATTCATTATTGGTGTGTCAGCAAAACAGTACAACTACTTTACAAGACACTTTAGCAGTTTCTTATCAAATTAAACATGTTTTTACCAAATGATTCAGCATTAGCACTCATTGGTATTTATCCAAATGAGTTGAAAACTTATTTTCCACACAAAATAAGTTTGGATAATAATGGATATTTGGATATTTATGGCAGCTTTTTTCATACCTGCTAAAATGTGGAAGGAACCAAGATGTCTTCCAGTAAATGAATAAACTACTTAATATTTTTCTGCAGTAAAAAGGAATGAGCTCTCAAGCCGTGAAAAGAGGTAGAGAGATCTTAAATGTATATTTCTAAATGAAAGAAGCCAATCTAAAAAGGCTATATGCAGTATGATTCCAACTATATGACATTCTGAAAAAGGTTAAACTATGGAGACATTAGAAAGATTATTTACTGCAAACACTTGGGGCAGGGAGAGATGAATGGTGTATCTCAGAGGTCTTTTACTCTATATGATACTATAATGATAGATGCATACTTGTCATTATACATTTGTACAAATTTATAGAAGGTACAACCCCAAGAGTGAACCCTAATGAAAACTAGGAACCTTGGTTTATTATTTTGGGTCAGTGTAGGTTCATCAGTACTAACAAATGCACCGCTGAGGGGATGATGATGATGATAGGAGAGAATATGCATGTGTAGAGGCAGGGAATATTTGGGAAATCTCTATACCAACTGTTTAATTTTTCTGTAAACCAAAAATGGCTCTAAAAAGTAAACTCTATTATAAAATCAATCTTTATCTGTTTTATTGCATCAAAAGTCACATATAAATTTATCTTCAAGGATTTAAGATGCAATAATAAACTCTGTGCTATAAAGTATCTGAAAAAATGTATTAGCTTTCAAATCACTTTACTCACCTATTTAAAGATAAGCTGTTCAATAATCCTGATATTTTTCTTGAGATAAGACAAAATCTCCTAACAGGGCATGCGAGACCATTAATAAGCAGATTTCTGTATATTTGTGACAACTTATGTTGCACCATATTGACATCCTTTTATTCTCTCTATTGTGTTGTTATCACATTGGCTTGGGATTCTTGTTACATGATGTGTTTTGACTTAGAAAACTTCTACAAAAGCATGCTTGCCAACTCATTCTAACTTTTCCATTTCACAGCTTAGGCATCTAGTGTAAATGCTCATCTCATGTGATCTGAGAGCACTGTACTTTCCTTATATTACATAGTATGAATTTGGGGACTTAACTAGCTACAGAAAATGAGTTCTGTAAGAGTACAGTTGAGATCTTTCTTCTTATGACTGCAGAACTAACAAACAGCTAGAGTAGTGCCTGGCAAGAAAAAAGATTCAAAAGAGGAGAAATTTTTAAGCATTATTTAATCGCTATAGACAGTACCTTTTCACTGTACTCCAGAAGATGAATGCAGTTAAATTTATGGTCATAATTTCAATAAGTAATTTAAGCCAGTTTCAGAATTTACCAGTTAATAGCTTGGATAATTTTTACTTTGTTTTATTTATTTTGTTTGTTTAAGCTTACTAATAACGTTTTAACAGGGGCATTAATAAAATGTAAACAAACCTTTAAACAGCACTGACATTAGTTCTCCTTTTGGGTTCTCCAGTTTGAGAGAACACCCACCATATGATTTTAGGCAATATTAGCTAGATACCCATCTGAATTGAGTTAGAACTAAACAAAAATTGGAACTGTCTTGGTTACGAATTAATTATTGTGATAATGGTACTTTTATCTAAATGTTTAGTTCTGGAGATGGACAATGTAACAGAATGTCCTATGTAATATTTTATAACTTAATATTACAGTCTATTTAAGTGAATATTTGATGATTCATGGCAAATTTCAGGCTTTAGGTACCCAAAGTAAAAAGTCCCTATTTTCATAAACCTAAGGGAACTGAGCTACACAATTTTTGACATCTTTCTCCCTGATGGACTTAGACTTTCAATGTTTACCCAAAAAAAAAAAAAAAAAAAAAAAAAAGAACCATATTTTCTTAGCTCTTTAAGTATTTTATGTTCGGTAGACCTTCTTATAAAGTAAAATAGTAATTATGTGATTGTATTACTCACATTGATATGTGCTGTTTTCTTTCTTTATACCTCCTTCCTATACTTTTGGTCCATTACCCATTTTAATTTTCTTAAGAGAATTTTTAACTATTTATACCTGATATAACATTATACATAATGTTCATTTTTCATTCTTTATTTAACAAACATATATATCATTCCAGATACTGTTCTAAAAACTGAAAAAATATTAGTGAATCTAACAGAGATAGCCTTTTCCCCTCAGGTAAATTTTATAGTCTAGAGTACAATAAAAACACTGGGGAAAGTAATTAATGTAAAATCTCAACTTCAATGTGATGAAATATATCTTAAAACTTCTAATTATAAAAGAAGGAATGAAATAAAATAAACTTTACAGCAAATTTAATCTTTCATTCTTGAGTTTTAGTGATAACTGGAAATGCAGTAAAACTGTCAAAATTAGACTTAAACATTTCTGAAAACTTGGCTTGTCATTGAGTTAGAATTTTTAATTTAATCTCATTATTTTAAATAAATTCTGCTACTGATGAAACAAGCTTACTTCTCTTTAAATTTGATGTTACTCAAAATGTTAAGGTAGTTATATTTTTGGTTGCTACATAACAATAATAAGTTCAAGAATAATAGCTTCTCATCATCTAACTAGAACATTTACACCTAACCCCATTGATCATCTAAGACGGCAATAGAAGAAAATTAGTTTAGATATCTAGTCATAGCTTTCAGAACTAATAGATAACTTTATTATTGCAATTCTCTGCTGGGTAGACTTTACATTTGTGCAATCCATTTGATTTAAACTCCAGTTGCCAAGTGCCCCATTCTAAACTATGTAACTCTAAATCCTTTACTCCCATTGCACATGCTTTTAAATTCCTTTTACTTTGTTTCTGATACGCTCTTCAAATGGATCTGAGAAGGATTGTATTTGTTATTATATTAATATTGTTCTTGAATAAAGCTGTTATATTAAGTGCTTCATAAAATACATGATTGTCTTAATAATAAAAAATTAAAACTTATTGGCCCGTTATTGCAAAGGGTGATAAAAGTTACAGCCAGGCAGTGGAAAAAAAGAATATTGATATTTTTTGCCATTCTTTTTGCGAGATTCTTTTTTTTGGGAAGAATCCCTGAAAGCCATTTATCTTGCTTTATATGAAATTATTTTTTTCTAAAATAGTTTGTAAGATTATTTCATATATTTTGGTAGCAATAGCTAAGTATGCAGCAAGGCAAGAGCAAAGAAATTAATTGTTGAATAAAATTCTCACTTTGAAATTCAAGTAAAGGGCTTCAGGCCTGGAGAACTCACTGAACTTGGAGATCATTTCTTAATATCCTCCAATGAGATGTGCCAGATACCTGCAAGGGTCTGGAAAGTGGATACTGCACTCTAGAGCTTACTAATATTGATTCGTATACACACAAAATTCACCTTTTGCCCTGATGCTTCTTTGAGCAAGAAAATAAACAGGCACACTAATATTTTAAATATATATATATATTTTTTTATAAAATCCACAAATAATCTGATTACTAGAACATTCAATTGGGTCCTTAATTTAAACAAAAAAACCTACACGGTTGGAAATCAAGAATAATTATTTTTCACTATGTGAGGATAATTTTGAGGACAAAACAAGTCAGGCATTTTCATGCAGTGACTGAATAATCTATAATTATTTGTTATCTATAAAAACTGCTAGAAGGAATCTGTGGAATAAATATATTTAGAAAGTGGTGTTATAATTTAATGTGGTTGTTTGAAAATCCAACTACTCTATATCAAACCAGAAATTTGAAATACATATTTGCTTTGTCATATTTGCTTATATCTAAAACAGTATTATTCTTTTAAAAGATTAATATTTTTAAAACATTCTTTGAGTTCTGGGGTACATGTGCAGAACGTGCAGGTTTGTTACATAGGTATACACGTGTCATGGTGGTTTGCTGCACCTATCAATCCGTCATCTACGTTAGATATTTCTCCTAATGCTATCCCTTTCCCAACCCCACACCCCTTGACAGGCCCCAGTGTGTCACGTTTCCCTCCCTGTGTCCATGTGTTCTCATTGTTCAACTCCCACTTATGAGTGAGAACATGCAGTGTTTAGTTTTCTGTTCTTGTGTTAGTTTGCTGAGAATCATGTTTCCAGCTTCAACCATGTCCCTCCAAAGGACATGAACTTATCCTTTTTTAATGGCTAATCTTTTAAAAACAGACCACAACAACAATTTACAAAACCTCTTTTATACTTTTCTAATATTATATTTTATGCCTGTTCTTTCTGAATTGCCTACTCTTTCAATAGGCATAGAATTATTTCAAATAATTTTTCTTTTTCTCCCATATTTTTCACATATTTTTCACATATTATTCACATATTATTTCACATATTTTTCTTTTTCTCCCATTTCCCCATATTTTAGAGTTAAACTATTTAAATTAATATACTATCTAAAATTAGAAGAGCTTTAATAAGCAACTTCAAATTAACTGTTGACAGGTTTCTATCAGTTCAGCAATGGTTTAGCACAGTGAAGAGCACGGGTTCTGCGTCAGATTTCTTTGATTTTAATTCTGACTCCATCAGTTAATAGCTGTGAGATCCAGCGCAAATCACTTACACTTTTTAAGCTTCAATTCTCTCATCTTTAAAATGAGGGTAATAATACTTAATTCAAAGGATTTTTGAAGATTAAGTGCAATAATGTGTGAGAAGTATTCTGTACAACAGAAGACTAACATGTAAAGTATTTAACAATTGTGAGCAATTATAGCCATTAGTTATTATTCAATACACAGTTAACAATGAGAAAAACAAAGAGAAATTTTCTCCATTCTATTAGTGACTAAGTCCCATAGGTAATTTTATGTCCCTCATATATATAAATTTATTGACCAGAATAATTTCAAAATATTCCACTGTTAACCATATGCATCAAACACAGCACATTAGTCATATAATAAACTTTATAATAAACTTTTTTATTTTACTATATTAATATAATTCTATATTGGCACAAGCACTATTGGTTTTTTTTTTTGCATTTTAAGAAAGAAACTGCTTTTGTCCATTCCTGCTGGTAGAACTCTAATTTTTATGGTTGTATTATCTCCATAATTTAAATGAATATATAAAATGAATCAGTGTAAAAATGTGGGAAGCAAAACTGGTATTCTTGGGTTACTTACTATGTGTGAGTCACTGTATTAAGTAATTAGCCTATATTAATTCAATGAACATCAAAATACCACCCAGGGGTTATCGCCATCATTCCCATGTCACAGATGAAGAAAATGCAGCTTAGACTAGATAAGTAACTAATTCACAGTCACAAACTGGCACCATACTTCCTTGCATGACAAAGGTTTGCTATTTGAATGTTACAACATAGTTGAGACTCGCAAGAGTCTGAATATTTTTATAATTTGTGTATTAACTTTGTGGAAATGATAATAACAAAGTACGTATAAAAATAGATTTTTGTAAACTTTTGGAACATAATTTAGCTTCAGATGTGATGGATTTGTAATTACTTATTGTAGAAACTGGCATTTTTTTTCCTGTGAAGGGTCAGGTAGCAAATATTTCAGGTTTTTCAACTCATACAATTCTATCATATATTCTTCTTCAATTTTGTTTTCTTTCATTGTTTTTACAGTGGTTTAAAGATGTAAAACCATTCTTAGTTCTTAGGCCAGATTTAAAGCAAGCTGCTGGCTGGATATAACCTGTGGGATGTAACTTGTGTGTTGTTGACTCCTGGTCCAGAACAAAAATAATTGTTCATCTTTCATTATTATGCAAGTATTTGGACAAATAAGCACATGTATGAGACCATATGCCATAGAAATATAAAATAACAGTGACAAAGTTTTAACAATATTTTATCATTAAAATAAAAGTAAATTCAGATATACATTATGTACATTGTTTTATGTAAAGCAAATAAGTAAAATATGGTTTATAATTGTGTCCTATAAAGGGACATTGTTCTTCTGGACGTACGTTTTTGAACAAAAGTCATATGGAGTTGTCAATTGATGCCACAGTATGAGAAGAATCTTGTCTTCATGTTGTGTCATATTGCTTTTGCCAAATAATTTTTGCTTTAAGGATTATTACAAATTAGTGGTAAATATAGTTTTTTTTAACTATATAGAAATGATGTTAACAATATTGTCCTTCATATAATCTTGTGTTAACATATAATTAAAACAAAAATTTAATAAATTACTTAATGTACTTAACTGTCCCAAAATGTGGAGAGGAATCTATGTTTCTTTTAAAGAAATAATGTCAATTTAATGACTTTTATTTATTTCTCTTGTCTGATTGCTTTGACTATGACTTCCAGTACTATGCTGAATAAAAGCAGTGAAAGTGGGCATCCTTGTCTTGTTACAATTTTCAGGGGAAATGCTTCATCTTTTCCCGATTCAATATAATGTTGGCTGTGGGTTTGTCATAGATGGTTTTCATTACCCTAAGCTGTGTCCCTTCTATGCTGATTTTGCTGAGGGTTTTAATCCTAAAGGGATGCTGGATTTTGTCAAAATATTTTTTCTGTGTTTATTGAGATAATCATATAATTTTTGTTTTTACTTATGTTTGTGTGGTATAGTGGTATATCACATTTATTGACTTGCTTATGTTAAACCGGCACTGCATCCTTGATGAGACTTGATCATGGTGTATTATCATTTTGATATACTGTTGAATTCAGTTCGCTAGTATTTTGTTGGGGATTTCCGCATCTATGTTCATCAGGGATATTGGTGTGTAGTTTTTTGTTGTTGTTGTTATATCCTTTTCTGGTTTTGGTATTAGAACAATATTCACTTCCTTGAAGGATTTAGGGAGCATTCCCTCTTATTATGCAGATATCTTTAGGGTAAAAATAACTTATAAGCTTTTCTTTATTACATTAATTTATGTAAGATTAAAATAAAATACAGTCAGGGTAAAATCACTTATAAAACACAAAGTAAAATGTGATTTTAAAAATAATATAATATATGTAGTAATGCTTACCTACTAGTTTTTAAACATATTTTTACATTTCCATTAAGAATTGCCTACTTAAAATTCTGCTTGTGTTTTCCTGGAAGATTTCTGAGTAATCTTTTCATACTGTGATATTAATCCTTTGTGTATGTTATAGATCACAAGCAGTTATTTGGAGTATAATTAATTTGTCATCTGATTTGTTTGTTCTTCCATACAGAAAAATATAATTAATAATATATTATTTTATGGCTTTTGTGTTTTCTGTTTTCCTTAATCAGACCTTTTCCACTAGAACCATTTACGTTCATTTTTCTTAATTTTTCTAATATTTTATAGTTTTATTTTCAATAACTATATCTAAAAATGAACAGAAATTATTTATTTTATATACAGTGTATCTGGGCGTACACCTTTGATTTTTCTTTCCCATAATTTCATCAATTATAGCTAAATAAATTAATCATTATTCCTCATTGATGTACTAACTTTTCTCAGTTCTATTTGTTTACTACTATTATAATGCTAGTTGATTTCATTATACTAATTTTATTTTGAGTCTTCAATAATTTGTGGATATTTTTTAAAAATCCAATTAAAATTCTAAGATGTGTATTTCTTTTTTTGATCTTATGAGTCACTTATAACAATTTCAAGAAACCACTCTTGAATTATCATTGTCATTTCAGTAAATTCCTATATTTATTTAACAGAATTGATATTTTGAAATTGCCTTCAAAACCACAAAAACTGCACACCTCTCACTATAACTCAGGTACATTTATTTACTTTAATAATTTTGTTGCCCTATTCGTACAGGGCCTCGATATTTTCTGTATAATTTTTTAGGAATTTTTATTTTTGCCAGTATTTTAAATGAAGTTTTAAAATGATCTCTAATTGTTGTTGCTGCCTTATAATAGAATGCTTAGAATTCTATTTTATGGCACTAAAATAGAATGGAATGTACTATGGAAAATGTTCTTTTCTTGTTTTCCAGAATTAGCTAGTACAACACAAAATTGAATTTAAAGACATAGACAGTACTTGACATTCTGAAGAGCGTTCATTCATGGGGGGACACCCTCTTTAGGACATATGAAATGTACCTTAACTGGCTCTAACCATCAGCATCCTTGTGGATTTCAGTTAAATAATAGCCAAAATAATATTTTCTCTAATTTTGATCCTATCAAATTTATTATTTTCACCATTACTAATTGATTTTGGCTAGGAGAATGCATTTTGTTATATTTAATTTTTTAATTTCCTGTTCACTAGAGATGGAAATTAGGAATAGCTACCAAGTTTTATTGTGTGATTTGTCAGCATCCAGAAGTAAATGGTTTTATATATACTTTAATTTGTTTATTTAAAAATTTATGTTGATGTATTTCCCTACTTGACCAAGTCTTACCCTGCTAGAATAAACATTACTAGATCATAATGCATATTTCAAAAGGTATGTAAATTTAATTTATTTAATTATGTTTTCTTTAGATTTATTGTACCTAAGACCATTTTGATCAATATATAATTTTTAGATGTTTTGTGTAATATGTAATATAATTTGATTTTTACATATGCTCAAAAAAGAATATTTTCTACATCAATAGATGAAAAAATAAAGGGTGTTAATTATAGCAATAATTTTTACATTAGAAATAAAGAGGTCTTGAGGTGCAATATTACATTAATCTAAAGAAGGAACTATGTATTTCAAACATGTTATGGCTGACTTGCGTTCCCCATCCTAAATTTTTTCTAGCTTGAAGTACTAACTTTTAGTAGCTGAGAATATTATTGTATTTGGAGATAGAGTGTTTAAAGCAGTAATTAAGTTTAAATGAGGTCATCAGAGTGGGATCTAATCCAATACAACTAGTTTCCTAATAAAATGAAAGATTAGGACACACAAAAGGAAGACCTTATGAAGGAACAGGAAGAGGACAAAGATCTACACAAAAACCAAAATGAGAGTCCTCAGAGAAAAACCAACCTTGCTGACACTTTTTTCTTTGACTTCTACTGTCCAGAATTGTGAAAAAATAAATTTTGTTGTTGAAGCCACTCAGTGGCTTTGTTGCAGCAACCCTGGTAAACTAATACAATATAATATCTATTTATTTAATGATATGTAGATACAGCCATGTCTCCTGGAAATGTTTGGTTTATTTTTGAAGTAAATATTTTATATTAGAATAAAGATCAGGCTTACATAAAAATAAATGTATCACAGGAAACCCTAGCAAAGCTATAAGCAGTGTTCACTTTTGTAATAATGTGCCTACTTTAATGGTTTTGTTTTGGATTCTCTGAGTATTTTAGCAAAACAAAAACATGCTGAAAATCATACTCAACACATAATCTATAATAACATTATCTTAACTCTATGTCCTGAATGCTGAACCCCAACTTGCCGAGACTCAATTGGAAATAAACACAGTTCGGTAAACTAAAGAATTTCAATGTCCTCACCACATTTTGGTAGAAAAGTAAGGCAAAAGTATGTTCATCTTTTTTGAAGAATGCTTGTTATTTCTTTATCATGTTTTCCTTTGCTTTTTCATTGAAAATGTCACAACCCATTTTTCTCTCACAAATTGGCCATACTTGTTAAGCTGAACCTGTACAGTTACCTCTATGTAACTATTCTTAATGTCCTCTACATACTGCCAAGACAATGGCTTTTGATTTCTCAAGGTAGCAATTTAGACGAAGGGAATATATCACATGGGGCATACAAAACCACAAGTGAGAAGCCCTGTTTTTTAGAGTTAGCTTTTTTATAACCACTCTCTCAGGACTTGGTTCCTTTAAGAAAATCATTGAATCATCTCTTGAACCTGTTCTTATGATTTACTTCCTTTAGGAGACAAAAGATAATCACAGTTTGGAAAATATGGATTATACTTTGAAAACTATAATAATTCAGGAAAGATGTCTGTAGCTAATATGAAAGATAACAACTGTAAGCTTATATTGTTGCTTACATTTTTTACAGAATGTAGGGCAAAGATCTTGTCTTTTATATCTTGTCTTCTTAACTGAATTTTACACAGTGGTTTGCACATTGTAATTGCCCAATAAATATTTACAGAATTAAATTGAAAATTTTATCACTTAAATGGCTCTTCTTGACACATTCTGGCCAGTGATGAGTTTAATTACCTAGAGTATAAATGTTGTACATGGCATTTCCACCTTAAAATCAATTTGACTTATTTAGATATTCTTTCTAGAATTGTGTTAACATTGTAACTTTTTTATTAACAATTCATCATATGACATTTATGAAAGATTATGTTGATCATCTAAAGGAAACTCAATCAGAAATTACCCATTCTCTGAACCAAACTGGTTCAGAGAATGATTGGAGTTTATTGTTTTAATCCTGTCAAGCCATATAGAACTTATTCTTAAACAATAAAAAAGCTTAAAATGTGTTTAGATCTTATGTTCAATTAAACTTCAAAAGCTACTGAAAATATAGCTTATGAGTTGGTTGTTCAGACATAAGTGGAAGATATTAAATAGGGATAATTTAGCAAGCTGTGCAATTTTATGCATGCATATTTATTTTGTTTTTTTATGGAACTGACTTCTAGAATTTGATTTGGTATATACATTTAAGTTTAAATACACATTTATCAATCTAAAATAGATAAGAAAGTGTTTATATATTTCTATTTTGAATTTCTGTACTAACTTTCACTAAGAAAAAGTGCTGTCCTGTCTTATTTGCTCTAATAAAATTAAATCATGAGATCTAAAAAATGACCTTAATTTTTATCTATTCGGTCAGTGATTCTCAACTGGTAGGAGGGGCTTATTCAAGATTATCTCATTAAAATAATGTAATGGGACTTTTTTCCCCTTTAAATTGTACAAAGATAGTTAGTTATATCTTTTCTCCACTCCACCAGGCAAAAAATTAAACAGGTAAATTGTTGCAAACTGAATCTTGTCTCAAAAGCCTCTAGTACTTAAAACAGAGCATTTCTTTGGGGCTACTTGTTCTTTCTTGTATACTTCAACCTCTTTTTTCTCTCAACCAGCTCCCTCCACATAAGTATCTCACTTTTGGCAAAATATGACCCCAGTTTGAGTCTTCATTATGACCCATCTGGTTACCCACAGCTCACTCCGGAGAGTAAGTCTTTCTGTGTTACTCAATTTAAATTATCCATAGGTAGAATTTGGTGGTCTTGTCTTCTTACATGTCATAGGTTATTAGAATATCTATGGATTATTTGCCTCATGGCTAGGTCTTTATCTAGAGAGAGGCTTATATGGCACAAGGACTGCCTTTTCAAGGGGCTCGGGACAGGGCACATGTCACAAAGTACATCTTTTGCAATTAAAGTATATTGTGTTTGATCAGCAAACATTTACAGAGTGCCTAACACATATAATAAGATCTACTTGGTAATAGGTAAACAAAAGGTGTAATATAAAGGTCTCCAGTGTAAGAATATAGCATAATTAGGAGGACTGAATGCATGTATAAAAACATGGATCCATACATGCCTATATATATATACATATATATAGGCACATACACGTGTGTATATATATATACACACATATATACATATATATACACACATAATGTGGTGCCTAAGGGATTACATATTTGTATTTGGAAGTAAAATAATATGTCATTATGGACAATTTGTGTTCAGGGAAGACATACTTGAAGTAATACGACAACTTACACTTTATTAATCAAAAGTAATTTTTGAATCATTTTTCCTCAAATATGTCTTTCCTGTCTACTAAATCATTCTATTATAAAGACAAAATACACATGTGTGTTCACTGGAGCACACAATATTGCTATTCACAATAGCAAAGACATGGAATCAACCTAAATGCCCATTTTTTTGGCTGAATACTATTTCACTTTTTCTATAGTAACTTCTATACATTTCTAGCATGTCTCTTTGAGTTTTATTAGTTTATATTAATTAATTTATTAAGAGAATGCTCCTAGGGACATTACCTGATCTTCACACACCAGAACTAATTATCTAAAATAAACCAGTGATTTCCAAAGGATTTTTATTTTATGCTACCAAGAGGAATTCCAGAAAAGTGCAGAAGACTTTACAGAAAAAGTGAAATACTCTGCAGCCATAAAAAAGAACGATATCATGTCCTTTGCAGTGACATGGATAGAACGAGAGACCATTATCCTTAGCAAACTAACAAGAAAAGAAAACCAAATGCCACATGTTCTCACATGTAAGTGGGAGCTAAATAATGAGAACACATAGAGGGCAACGACATGCACTGGGGCATATCAGAGGGTGGAGGGTGAGAGGAGAGAGAGGAGCAGGAAAAATAACTAATGGGTATGAGGCTTAATACCTAGGTGATGAAATAATCTGTACAACAAACCCCCATGACACTAGTTTACCTATGTAACAAACCTGCACTTGTATCCCTGAACTTAAAAGCATTAAAACAACAACGACAGCAACAACAACAACAAAGTGGTTTAACTATTTGATTCAGAGTGGTTGATGGAGCAAAGACTTTGACCAGTCTCTCAAATGAATCATTTTCCTATAGGACTCCCATTTCTCTATCTCATATAACATTCTCATGAATTGTTTACTTAAACTGTAATTTAATTTTGTACTTATGGGTTTTTAAATTTTCTATCAGTATCTTTTACTTCTTAATAAGGAATATACACTGCGCTTCTTGTTAGTTCTCATAACAACCAGCAAGAGCACTATGAACCCCAAGTTTGCATGCAGTGAAAATTTAAGTATTTTCTGACTTGCTCAACTTACCATGGATACAAAAAATGCCTTTAAAATATATAAAGCTTGAAAAAATGTATTCTATCTTTACATTTTCAAAATATACTTACCTATAACAATTTACATAACACACTAACATAAAAGTTTAATTACTTATAATAAATCTAACATCACATAAGGAATATATCTACCAGTTTGTTGTGTCAATGTATGTGTCCAATTTCCAATCAACCAACCAAAATTTGCTGCATAAGCTTTCCACAAAGAATATTTCCTCAAGTTGTAAATGCAAAGCATTTTTAAGAAATATGAGATGTACCTAATTTTGTGATATTTAATAAGTCACATTTGAAAAATGAGAAGTAACAACATGCATATTTTCCAGCTTGAGAGGAGCCTTTTTTGTGTTACCAATTTTATGAACTATGTTTGATTAATAAAGTCATTTTTTGTTTCTCTATTACAGTTTTTTTTTTTTTTTGGCCCAAATAACAGAATTTTATTATCTCACAGTGCTGGAGGCTAGAAGTTCAAAATTAATATGTCAATAGGGTTGGTTTCTTCTGAAGGCTGTGAAGGAAAGAACTGTTCCAGGCCTCTCTCCCTGGTTTGTATGTGTCCATCTTCTCCTTGTGTCTCTTCGGATATGAAAGGACATAATGCATATAAAGATGTTTTTGTTATTCTTTCAATGTTGCCAATTTAATGATATCATTGTTTATTTAGCTTTGAAAAGCACTTTTTCCTTAAAATAAATATTGAAATATGAAATGCTGATGTCACTATATAGCAAAAAATGAGGAACAGCAGATCTGGGAAGCAGTCCAAAGTGCTTCAAAGTGACTTGTGTGCCAAGCTAAGGCTTTTTACCTAAAGCCATCAGTTTCTGAGGAAGAAAAAAAATTATCTTTAAAGATAATTCAGGTATATTATGAAATGATTAAGCTCTTATGCATATAATTTTATATGCCACTGCAGTTTTACCATAACCAAAAAAATAATCCCAAAACTCTCTGAATGGGCAGGGATTCAGGGCCTCCTTTGGATAATTTGCAAATTCTCACAGAGCATATCCCCTGCCCTGAGCTCGTTTTCTTGTGGCTAGGATCACATCAACCACATAAAGCAGTGAAAAAAAATCAAAGTAAAAAGCTTTAAAAACAGAGAGGCTTGTTTGTTAGTCAGTGTGGGGGAATCAATTGGCAAACATTAAACAATGAAATTATGGAGTGGAAGTTAATCATTCTTAAATTAAGACCGGTACATACTAAAGTCCAGCTGGCAGCAATCACTGACAATACCTATTTAATCTGATTATGCTTTTAAGAAAATTACTCACAAATGGTAGATTTCAAACTGCAAGATAGAAATCACAGAACAAATAAGGTTAATTGTATCTATCTCTGAATGTACATGCATGCAATAAATCTAATTATGTTCACAATATTGAGTAGCTTTTAGCTCGTGTCCACTTCTTTTGTCCGATTTACACTGATTTTATTTTGGTAGAGATATTTTTAGTCACTTGACAAATCAAACATCTACTTTATCAATTCCCTTAGCAAATTTCCCTTTTAAGAGTTTGCTGTCCCTTAGGATCTTCAGAACTGTCAATAACTATACAATCTTTGTGAGTTTTCTGTGATATTATCTCCCTACCTGCAAGCTCCTTAAGCCTATTACTTCTCTAAGGAAATTGAAATGCTCAGTGATTCTTGACTTGCAGGTAGGATTAGGAATATCTTTCAGTATTGGCACCAAATTTTATAATTGTGCATTGGCAACAGAAAACCAATAAAAGTTGAATCATGCTTTAAAGATTTGCTAAGTGAAGTGAGCACTTATAAAAAATGGTGTGAAAAATATATTTCCTAACCTTGCCACTAAAATGAAGTGCCCGTGGATAAATATTGTTTTGGCAAATATCATGCCTCAAGGCATTGCTGGAGAATAAAGAATTGTATTTACACAGAACAGGCCTCCCCAGAGTGGTGTAATCAATATCACTGAACAGTTTCGGCTTGCAGGACAGTGGCTAATTCCCAGAAAACATCAACCACAAGTGGATGGCACCCAGATTCTGTGGTCAAAGGAAATCAGTAGGATTTCACATAGAGAAACTGAATAAAAAGACTCTGAATCACGATCAAGATTACAATAATACAAAACTGTGCCCTGGAATATACCAGTAAGGCTATCATCAGAGCAGTAAGCTAAGTTAGAAGCTAGAAAGAATGAGAATTGGACAGTGTTGTGTAATTAACAGGTAAAGTGGAGCTCTTCAGAATGAACATTATGATTTGTAGAGAAGGTAGAGTTGGCTAATGAATGGGTCTAGAATGGCATCGTCAGCTTAAAACAAACATGGAGAATATCCAGTCAAAGAGCTAAAAACTGGAAGATCCATAAATAGTTGAAATTTTTAAATACATTTCAGGCTGTTCAACTACTTGTGAAATCACATTGGTGAAGAAATGAAAGCAGAGAAAAATTTACCAGAGATAAGTAAGGTTCTTCATAAGGAGTGCCAAAAGTGTACTAAATGAGGGATCATTGACTAGTAAGAAAGATAGGACATGGGCATTTATAATTATCCAAGTCATTGGCCAGGAGCGGTGGCTCACGTCTGTAATCCCAGCACTTTGAGAGGCCGAGGCGGGTGGATCAGGAGGTCAGGAGATTGAGACCATCCTGGCTAACACGGTGAAACCCCAACTCTACTAAAAATACAAAACATTAGCCGGGCATGGTGGCGGGCGCCTGTAGTCCCAGCTACTCGGGAGGCTGAGGCAGGAGAATGGCGTGAACCCGGGAGGCGAAGCATGCAGTGAGCCGAGATAGTGCCACTGCACTCCAGTCTGGGCGACAGAGAGAGATTCTGTCTCACAAGCAAACAAACATAAAAATACATAAAATACATCAAAGAGCATACAAAATGTATGAGGAAAAATGCATAATAAAATGTTATCCAATTGAAGTTCAGCAAGAGAGGGAGAGGAAGAAATACAGCAAAAGATACTTTTGGAGATATCATAACCCAAAAATATTCCAAAATTATGAAATACATCATTAAACTTCACATTTCAAGATAAATTTTTAGTATCAGTCAAAAAGACATGTTGGCAACAAAAAGTAAGACCTACTCTATTTACTGTCTATTGAAACAATGGAAGACAAAAGACCATGCATTCATATCTTTACATGCTTAAAATAAAAGATCTTCAATCCATACTCAGTGAAAATATACTTAAAAGTAAAACAATAATACATACAAACAAAAAATTAAGATAATTCATTTTCGGCAGACCTGCAGTGGAAGAAGGAAGTTAGTCAGGTAGAAAAAAGTGATCCCATATGGAAGTACAGAAAGACAGAAAGGAATTACTAGCAATCACAATGTTAAATATGGCAGGGTGCGGTGGCTCACGCCTGTAATCCCAGCACTTTGGGAGGCCGAGGCGGGCAGATCACGAGGTCAGGAGGTGGAGACCATCCTGGCTAACACGGTGAAACCCTGTATCTACTAAAAATACAAAAAATTCGCTGGGCATGTTGGCGGGCACCTGTAGTCCCTGCTACTCGGGAGGCTGAGGCAGGAGAATGGCGTGAACCCGGGAGGCGGAGCTTGCAGTGAGCCGAGATGGCGCCACTACACTCCAGATTGGGCGACAGAGCCAGATTCTGTCTCAAAAAAAAAAAAAAAAAAAGCTTAAATATACAGGTAAATCTAAATTGTATTTGACCAAACACATAATTACATCATGTGCATCACTAATAGACATATAATTAAATCTGTAACATGAGTCATACAATGATACAATGTGGTGGATGGAGTTAAAGTGTTCAATGGTTCTGGTTTATCTAAGGTACAGTATAATAAAATTAATCATTTATGGTAGATCCCATTAAGTCAAATAATAATTCTATAATAATTCTATAATCGTATTTAACTAAGAAACTAACAAAGAGAAAAACTGAATAATATTTCAAATAATTTGTATAATCCAAAATAATATAGGGAATAAGAGATAAACATAGAAGAGGTGAAATAAGCAGGAAATAAAAAGTAAAATGGTAAGGCTTACCCCGGATATTTTAGTAATTACATTAAAGTAAGCTAATCTAATTAATAGTCAAAAATTGCCAAATGAAATTAAAAAACAAAATCCTCAAATATGATTTAATGATATGTAAATCGATATGAGAACACAGACAATATAAAAAAAATGATGAAGATATACCATGAATATGACGAAAAGAATACTAAGGCAAGACAAACATAATTATTAGAAATAAATATATTTTATAATGGTCAAATAGTTTATAAAAAGCAAACATTATGTAACCAATAATATAATATGAATAATACATGTATATAATAAAATTAAAATTGACAAAATTTAAGAAATAGAAAAACTTATAGTCATTTGAATATTTTAGTAAAAATTTGACAGTATGATTTTAGAATTTATAGGTAAAAGTAAACAGCCAAGAGTAGTGAAGACAGTTTTGAATGCAAAGAAGCAGCTTAGGTGATATACAATACCAGATATAAATATTTGCTATAGAATTGTAATAAACTAGAAATTTGTACGAGCATAGAAAGTAGACCAAAGACAAGGAATTAAGTATAGAAATAGAATTTAAAAATTAGCACTAAATTAACGACAACATTGAAACACCATTTTAGTGAGGAAAGAAATGATTTTGAGTAAATTAAAGATTTTATACATATATACGCATTATATATCTTATGCATCAAAACATGCATAAAAATAAATTTCAGTGTATAAAACAAAAATTATTTAGAAGCAAATAGAGGAAAATATCTTCATGATCTAAGATAGGCAAAGTTTTCTAGAACAAGATATAAAACTCTAATCATACCTTATAACACTGGTAAACTGTGCTATATTAAGTTTCAGGCTTTTAAGTCATTAAAAGACATCATCAAAGATTGAAAAAACAAGCCATGGATTATAAGTAGATTTATAGAAAGAAAAAATAATATAGATCTAGATTATAGATCTAGATTTATATAAAAAAAGACTCATGACCCACATTAAACAGATTAGAAAAAGACAAACAACCTAACTTAAAAATGTGCAAAATTTAAACAGCGGAAGGATATTTAAATAGGCAAACAGCTTCTAAAAATCTTCACAACCTCATTAATTGTTTATAGTAGGAACCTCTTTACAAATCCTCATGGCCTTGCATAATAAATCAATTAACAGCCTATCTTCATTTATTTTTAGCAGGTAACATAGTATAGGAGTCAGGGCTTGGCTTTGGAATCTGATGACCCTGAGCCCAAAATCCAGCTCCACGTGAAAGCAAACCTACAAGGAAATCTAGGGCCCTCAGCCATCTATATGATCACACCATATGCTTTCAGACTTTCTTCACTCATTCCCAATAAATATGTGCTTGCTAAATGGGCAAAAAAAATAAAATAAAATATAAATTAAAATTATGAAAAGATAACACTACACACCTGCCACAATGTCTCAAATTAACAACCCATAACACCAACTGTTGACATGGATATGAAGCAACAGCAACTCTCATAAGCCAATAGGAGTCATGCAATATAATAAAAAAAATTTTGAATTACTAAAGGTGAAAACATGCACTTTTTATTATCCAGAAATTTTAAATCTATGTATATACTCCAAAGAAATGCATACCTTATACATCAAAAGACACACAATTATATTACAATAGAAACGGAAATAGCCCAAATATTCATAAATAATAGAATGGATACATACAATTTAGTATTTATACAATGAAATATCAAACAGTAATGGAAACAAACTACTGTTTGTCATAAAAATGGATAAATTTTGTAAACATAATGTTTACCAAAATGATCAAGTACCCACAAAAATAATGCATGTGAGATAATTTATATTACACATAAATTCAAAAAATGTAAAGCTAATGTATGGTAAGAGAAATCAGAATAGTGCATAGTTTAGGTATGTAGATTCATGAGAATGAAAAGGCATTGTTGCTCTTTCTTTATTTGGCGGTGTTTATCTGGACGTATTCACATATTTACAATTCGCATGTTTTATGTTTTGTTGTATACCTTGTAGGTGTTTATTTTTTTAAGTTTATTTTGAAAATTCCAAGAAATTCCATTATAATTATATTCAAATCCAGTGTATGTCACTAGGACCATTAACTCATCATCCTTACCATCACCAAAGCTACCATCAACACAATAGCAAATATAATAACCTTGTTCTTTTCATTCCCTCACAAATACCCCATCCTCCCATCAAATTACCAGAGTATGTACCTCTAATCACACAATGTATCCTGACTTGAACATTTTTACCATTTCCATTATTTCTACCATCAAAACAAACTACTATCATTTCTCTCCTCGAGTCCCGCAATAATTTTTATTTGTCTATGTGTTTCAACTCTTAAGCACCTAAAATTCATTTTCTACAGAGCAGTGAAAGTGATAATTACAAATTAATTATGCCATCACTTTGCTGAAACTACCCCCATGGCTTCAAATCTCTCTTGAAAGTAAAATAAAATTTTATAATTCTTCATGGTTAGCCAACTGCCAGTCTTTCTTATATAATTCTCTGCTACTCTCCCATAACAGATATTTTCCTGTTCCTCTGGCCTTTCAATTATTTGCAAATGCTTCCTGACTCAAGCTCTTCACTCTTGCATTTTCCTCTGCCTGCAATTTTTTTTTCTTCAGAGATCTTCACATAGCATGCTCCTTAGTTGCTACTCAGCTCAAATTTTACCACCTCAGTGGACCTTTATTTACCTTATTGCCAATTATTCTGTCTTTCACAAAAGTATTTCTCTTACTTCTAGCTGAAATCATCTCATTTATAAATCTAGTGTTTGCACCTTCTATCAGTTAGGACACAATTTCATTTTGGGGTAACGGTGCCTGGATATAATGTCTTTTTATTATTATTATTATTACTATTATTATTATTTTACTTTAAGTTCTGAGGTACACGTGCAGAACGTGCAGGTTTGTTACATAGGTATACATGTGCCATGGTGGTTTGCTGCATCCATCAACCCGTCATCTGCATTAGGTATTTCTCCCAGTGCTATCCCTCCCCTAGCCCCCTAGCCCCTGACAGGTCCCAGTGTGTAATGTTCTCCTTCTTGTGTCCATGTGTTCTCATTGTTCAACTCCCACTGATGAGTGAGAACATGCCCTGTTTAGTTTTCTGGTCCTGTTAGTTTGCTGAGAGTGATGGTTTCCAGCTTCATCCATGTCTCTGCAAAGGACATGAACTCATCCTTTTTTATAGCTGCACCGTATTCCATGGTGTATATGTGCCACATTTTCTTTATCCAGTCTATCATTGATGGGCATTTTTGTTGGTTCCAAGTCATTGCTATTGTGAATAATGCTGCAATAAACATACGTGTGCCTGTGTCTTTATAGTAGAATGATTTATAAGCCTTTGGGTACATACCCAGTAATGGGATTGCTGGGTCAAATGGTATTTCTGGTTCTAGATCTTTGAGGAATCACCACACTGTCTTCCACAATGGCTAAACTAATTTACACTTCCCACCAAAAGTGTAAAAGTAGTCCTATTCCTTCATATCCTCTCCAGCATCTGTTGTTTCCTGACTTTTTAATGATTGCCACTGTAACTGGCATGAGATGGTATCTCACTGTGGTTTTGATTTGCATTTCTCTAATGACCAGTGATGATGAGCTTTTTTAAATAAGTTTGTTGGCTGCATAAATGTCTTCTTTTGAGAAGTGTCTGTTAATATCCTTTGGCCACTTTATGGGGGGGTTGTTTGTTTGTTTCCTGTAAATTTATTTAAGTTCCTTGTAGATTCTGGATATTAGCCCTTTGTCAGATGGATAGATTGCAAAATTTTCTCCCATTCTGTAGGTTGCCTTTTCGCTCTGATGATAGTTTCTTTTGCTGTGCAGAAGCTCTTTAGTTTAATTAGATCCCATTTGTCAATTTTGGCTTTTATTGCCATTATTTTTGGTGTTTTAGTCATGAAGTCTTTGCCCATGCCTATGTCCTGAATGGTATTGCCTAGGTTTTCTTCTAGGGTTTTTTATGGCTTTAGGTCTTATATTTAAGTTTTTAATCCATCTTGAGTTAATTTTTGTATAAAGTGTAAGGAAGAGGTCCAGTTTCAGCTTTCTGCATGTGGCTAGCCAGTTTTCCCAGCATCATTTACTTAACAGGGAATCCTTTTCCCATTGTTAGTTTTTGTCAAGTGTGTCACAGATCAGATGGTTGTTGATGTGTGGCATTATGTCTGAGGCCTCTGTTCTGTTCCGTTGGTCTATATATCCGTTCTCGTACCAGTACCGTGCGGTTTTGGTAACTGTAGCCTTGTATTGTAATTTGAAGTCTGGTAGCATGATGCCTCCAGCTTTGTTCTTTTTGCTTAGGATTGTCTTGTCTATACTGGCTCTTTTTTGGTTCCATATGAAATTTAAAGTAATTTTTTTTTCTAATTCTGTGAAGAAAGTCAATTGTAACTTGATGGCGATAGCATCAAATCTATAAATTACTTTGGGCAGTATGGACATTTTTATGATATTCATTCTTTCTATCCATGAGCAAGGATGAACATCGATGCAGAAATCCTCAATAAAATACTGGCAAACTGAATCTAGCAGCATATCAAAAAGCTTATCCACCAAGATCAAATCAGCTTCATCCCTGGAAGGCTGGTTCAACATATGCAAATCAATAAACATAATTCATCACATAAACAGAACCAATGACAAGAACGACATGATAATCTCAATAGATGCAGAAAAGGCCTTCAATAAAATTCCACACCCATTCATGCTAAAAACTCTCTATAAACCAGGTATTGGTGGAACATATCTCAAAATAATAAGAGCTATTTATGACAAACCCACAGCCAATATCATACTGAATGAGAAATAGCTGGAAGCATTCCCTTTGAAAACTGGTACAAGACAAGGATGCCGTCTCTCACCACTCTCCTATTCAACGTAATATTGGAAGTTCTGGCCATGGCATTCAGGCAAGAGAAAGAAATAAATCGTATTCAGACAGGAAGAGAGGAAGTCAAATTATCTGTCTTTGCAGATGACATGATTGTATATTTAGAAAACCCCATCATCTCAGGCCAAACTCTCCTTAAGCTAATAAGCAACTTCAGCAAAGTCTCAGGATACAAAATCAAGGTGCAAAAATCACAAGCATTCCTATACACCAATAATAGAGAGCCAAATCATGAAGGAACTCACATTCACAATTGCTACAAAGAGAATAAAATACCTAGGAATACAACTTACAAGGGATGTGAAGGACCTCTTCAAGGAGAACTACAAACCACTGCTCAAGGAAATAAGAGAAGACACAAACAAATGGAAAACTATAATGTTTTAAATATGACTCTGGTTTATTTATCTCACACATAGCAAAAAGTCCAGATGTAAGCGATCTAAGGCCACTTTATAATTCCCATGAAGCCAATGTGAATGTAGGCTCTTTTTGACTCTGGATTTCATTCCCAAGAAAAAGCAAAAAAAAAAAAAAACTACGCCACAGCTTTGGGAAACATTTGTGTTGAGACAAGAGAAAAGAGGAAAGAGAGGAGGGAGATAGCGACTCACTTTCCAGCTGAGCATCTCCCAGTGAGAATTTCCACATACCATTACCTCTTACACATTACCGATCAGAGTATAGTCATGTTCCCACATCAAAGAGGCTGAGAAATGTTGTGTTAGAGCTGGATGCGTTGTCGCTCTGAATAAAACGTTATATTGTTAAAAAATAAAAATAGATATGGACAGTTTTGTTTTGTTTTTCTCCGAATCCATCCCTTTGGTTTCCACAAAATTTATACCATATTTTTTCTATGCATGACACACACTCATTGGCTTTCTAAGAAAGATAAATATAATTGCCCTATCAAGTTCAGTATTTGACTCCATATTCAAGGTCAAGGATATCCGAGTGATGTTCAATTTTTTCAATCAAGTTCAAATCTGAGGACTGCTGATCTTGTAATTAAAAAGCCAAGTTATTTGTCACTAGTATACACAATAAGCTATATGTAATACATGCTGTGAAGATGTAATAGAATACTAGGGATAAAATATCCAACTTAGGAAAGGGGAAAAGAGAAAATATTCTAGGTAATATCTCTCATAGGTAATATTTCAGTCCCCTACTCTTGCAGTGAAACATGCTTCTTGCATAGCATTACTATCAAGGAATTTATTCTTTACTCATTATCTTTCATGACCATGAGGTGAGCAGAAAGAATACATCATTTTTAGAGTCTGCACAGCTTTAGTAATTGAGATCTTAAAGATTAAACTTGGGCATTCTAAGCATTCTTTTAATAATTTAATATATACAGATAGTTTCAGGTCAGGTTTTGGGGTTTTTGGTAGTGCTGTTTTAGCAAAAACTTATAAGGCTCCCAGTTTATTTTCTTCCAGATAATCTCACCATTTAGTACTCTCTACGTATAGTTTTTAAGCCTGAAGACAATAATACTTTACTTATAGGCCTCTAAGCTGCATCTACGTCCCTTTTCCTCAACTTAGTGGCTACTAGGCTGAAACTTTATTAAATAATGAACTTGTGTGTGTGGAACCAAACCAGCTAAATTATCTTTTCCAATAGACTCATTGCCTTTGCCAACAGGCTCATCGCATTTGTGTTGCAGGTACTAGTTTGACTTTCTACTTAGGTTGCAGCTCCCAGGCCTTCTCACTTTACATATAGAACTTTTTTTTTTTTTTTTTTTTTTTACCTTTTGTAGTTTCTAACTGGGAGCGTAGTAAATCTCTCCATTCACTAAACTGTATTTCCTTCCATCTCTGCTTTTAGATTAGTTCAATTGGTTTACTGTCTCTTGCTGGATTTTGTTGAATCTGACAACATGGAGCCAAATTATACCAAGATTTAGACTTCATTATTTCTAGCATTGCTATAGCATTGGTTGGCACTTTGTTTGACTGGTCAACATACAGAACGTGACAGCTGCAACAAATATGTTCACTAGGAAACTCAGTTTATCAGCTTTACAAAATGAAGTAGCTAAGTTCATATGAAAATTCTCTACCCTTTTAATTAGGCCATGGCTATTTTGTAGAAGCTGGTACAATACTCCACTTCTTAAACCAATTAAAATACTAGCTGGTATTTTCAGACAACACAGTGGAATCCATTGTACCAATTTTAAACAGAATAAGGAAAACTCTCTTTTCATCTATATCTATCTAGATATTACCCATATCTAGCTAACTAGCTATCATAAATTTTAGGAACTGAAGATATTCTAGCCTGTTCTTTGCTCTGAGAAGAATTAAAACCAAACTACTAAACTGACCCACCAGTTGGATAGAAAGAATAAGACTTAGTGTTCAGTAGCACAATAGAGTGACAATAGTTAGGAATCATTTATTGTATGTTTTAAAATAACTAAAAAATAGAAATTGGAATGTTTCTAACACAAAGGAATGATAAATGTTATAGGTGATGGATATCTTTATTACCATGATTAAATAATTACACATAATATGCTTGTATCAAAATATCACATGTACCCAATACATATAGATAAGTATTACATATTCAAAATTTTTTTAAAAGAAACTAAAAATTATGTTTTGCGATTTGCATTTTTTCATTTTTAATAAAGTTTTAAATTGTAAGTGAAATGTTTGGAGCTTAACATTCCAAATATGTGGAACATTTACAATTCAGAGGTGAGGGAGGTCAGATAGACGGAAGGATAGAAATATAGATATATTGATGTCCATACACATTTATAAACACAAATTTATAAACATAAATATATATATGTGTGTGTGTGTGTGTGTGTGTGTGTATGCCTAAATACAAACATATACACACACTGTGGGAACGACATATATACAAATTGTAGGAAACTATAAAATATGAAATTATGACTGTTGGACAGCTGTGAATGAAAACTCTGCTATAGTGGTGGTATAGATATACTATAATATACACATTGAAAGATAACGAGACTTAACTGGCACTGATTTATTCACCAATGGATAGAAGAATGTTCAGCAGAAAATATACTCCAAATAAATATTAGCTGAATGAATACATGCGGTAATGAGCAAGTAAATATTTTACTCATATGTTCATATACGCTCTTAACGTCTCTTCTTGTGGATCCTCTTCCAAGTGTAATGACTTGACGAGATTTTATTTCATTTTATTTTATGTTTTTATTTATAATTATTATAGACACATAATAGTACATATTAATGGTATATGTGTGATATTTTATACAAGCATATGTTGTGTAATGATCAATTCAGGGTAATTGGGGTATCCATCACCTCAAATTTTTTTTTCTTTGTATTAGGAATATTCCAATTTCAATCTTTCAATTGTTTTGACATATGCAATAATTTAATGTTAATGATTGTCACCCTATTGTGCTACCAAACACTAGATCTTGTTATTTCTAACTGTATTTTTGTACCCATTAACCATCCCCTCATTATTCCCCTCTCCTCATTACCCTTCCTATCCTCTGAGAACTATCATTCTACTCTCTATCTTTAAGTGTTAAATTGTATTTTTTTACCTACTATACATGAGTGAAAACATGCAATGTCCTCCAGTTCTATCTATGTTTTCGCAAATGACAGAATTTTATTATCTTATGGCCGAATAATATTCCATTGTGTATATGTACCACATGACCACTAAAGAGAACAGTATGGAAGTTCTCAAAAAAACTAAAAATAGAACTACTTATGACCCAGCAATCCTACTGCTGGGTATATATTCAAGAGAGAGAAAACCAATGTATCAAAGAAGACATCTGCATTCCCATGATTATTTCTACATTATTCACAATAGACAAGATATGGAATCAACCTTTTCATCAATCAACAGATAAATGGATGAATGACTTGGGATTTTAATTGAGTTTTGTTTATGAAGAGATTGTATAACTTATAATGGATATAAAAGCAATAGATGCTTGATGGCAGATGAAAAGACTGAGAAGACATGAATGAAAAGCTGTTACTAAAATGGTTGTCCAAATCCACTAGAATATGCACACTGCAGGGTAAATAAACTTACCTAACTTGTACACTGATTTATTACTATGGCTACTTTAGGACATGAAGCATTTTATATGACAGCTTAGGACCATGAATTAAAATTTGCATCATATCTAGACATAGTTTGTAAGTCAAAAGACACAAATGTTTTAATTATTGAGATAATTGTTATCAAATTAAGTACACTAGCAAAATAAGGTAAGCCTACTGTAAATAATATTAATGATCATTTGTATAAAGAGTAGATAATGAACTAAAAATATTAAATAATATTTTACTTTATATGTATGAAGAGATCTTGAATGATTCCTTCATAATAATTATTTTTAGTTATTTCTTTTTTTTTAATATTTAAGTATCTTTATTTTTTTTTATTATACTTTAAGTTTTAGGGTACATGTGCATATTGTGCAGGTTAGTTACATATGTATACATGTACCATGCTGGTGCGCTGCACCCACTAACTCGTCATCTAGCATTAGGTATATCTCCCAATGCTATCCCTCCCCCCTCCCCTCACCCCACCACAGTCCCCAGAGTGTGATATTCCCCTTCCTTTGTCCATGTGATCTCATTGTTCAATTCCCACCTATGAATGAGAATATGCAGTGTTTGGTTTTTTGTTCTTGCGATAGTTTACTGAGAATGATGACTTCCAATTTCATCCATGTCCCTACAAAGGACATGAACTCATTTTTTTGGCTGCATAGTATTCCATGGTGTATATGTGCCACATTTTCTTAATCCAGTCTATCATTGTTGGACATTTGGGTTGGTTCCAAGTCTTTGCTATTGTGAATAATGCCACAATAAACATACGTGTGCATGTGTCTTTATAGCAACATGATTTATAGTCCTTTGGGTATATACACAGTAATGGGATGGCTGGGTCAAATGGTATTTCTAGTTCTAGATCCCTGAGGAATCGCCACACTGACTTCCACAATAGGTTGAACTAGTTTACAGTCCCACCAACAGTGTAAAAGTGTTCCTATTTCTCCACATCCTCTCCAGCACCTGTTGTTTCCTGACTTTTTAATGATTACCATTCTAACTGGTGTGAGATGGTATCTCATTGTGGTTTTGATTTGCATTTCTCTGATGGCCAGTGATGATGAGCATTTTTTCTTGTGTTTTTTGGCTGCATAAATGTCTTCTTTTGAGAAGTGTCTGTTCATGTCCTTTGCCCACTTTCTGATGGGGTTGTTTGTTTTTTTCTTGTAAATTTGTTTGAGTTCATTGTAGATTCTGGATATTAGCCCTTTGCCAGATGAGTTGGTTGTGAAAATTTTCTCCCATTTTGTAGGTTGCCTGTTCACTCTGATGGTAGTTTCTTTTGCTGTGGAGAAGCTCTTTAGTTTAATTAGATCCCATTTGTCAATTTTGTCTTTTGTTGCCATTGCTTTTGGTGTTTTGGACATGAAGTCCTTGCCCATGCCTATGTCCTGAATGGTAACGCCTAGGTTTTCTTCTAGGGTTTTTATGGTTTTAGGTCTAACGTTTAAGTCTTTAATCCATCTTGAATTGAACTGGCTAGCCATATGTAGAAAGCTGAAACTGGATCCCTTCCTTACACCTTATAGTTATTTCTTTCTCCAAAAGTAAAACAGAAGATATTTGATTGAGAAATGACTTTAGATGTAAAAAATCACTTCAGAAGGTATTTGTTTGTGAATGATTTAAAATGTAATAAAACAAGCGCATTGTCAAGATTGTAAAATATAGAGTAATGCAGTTTAATCTGCTCTGTGTCTGTATCTAGTTATTAAATATCCTACTCATATGGTTTGTCTGTGTCCCCACCCAAATCTCTACTTGAATTGTAGCTCCCAAAATTCTCATGTGTTGTGGGAGGAACCCGGTAGGAGATAATTGAATCATGGGGACAGTTTCCCCATACTGTTCTAGTGGTAGTGAATAAGTCTCATGAAATCTGATGGTTTTATAAGGGGTTTCCCCTTTCACTTGGTTCTCACTCTCTTGCCTGCTGCCATTTAAGATGTGACTTGGATCCTCCTTTGCCTTCTGCCATGATTGTAAGGCCTCCCCAGCCACATGGAACTGTGAGTCCATTAAACCTCTTTTTCTTTATAAATTACTCAGTCTTGGCTATGTCTTTATTAGTAGTGTAAGAATGAACTAATACAGTAAATTGGTACTGGTAGAGTGGGGTGCTACTGTAAAGATACACAAAAATGTGGAAGCAACTTTGGAACTAGGTAACAGGCAAGTGTTGGAAAAGTTTGGAAGGCTCAGAAGAAAACAGGAAAATGTGGGAAAGTTAGGAACTTTCTAAGACTTGTTGAATAGTTTTAACCAAAAAATACTGATAATGATATGGGCAAGGAAATCCCGGCTAAGGTGGCCTCAAAAGGAGGTGAGGAACATGGGCCCTAGAGTAAAGGTGACTCTTGCTATATTTTAGCAAATAGACTGGCAACATTTTGCTCTTGCCCTAGAGATTTATGAAACTTGGAACTTGAGGGAGATGATTTAGGGTGTCTGGTAGAAAAAAATTTCTAAGCAGTTGGGTAAAGCATTCAAGAGCTGAATTGGGTGTCATTAAAAGCATTTAGTTTTAAAAGGGAAACAGAGCATAACAGTTCATAAATTTGCAGCCTGACAATGCAATGGAAAAGAAAAACCTATTTTCTGAGGAGAAATTCAAGCTGCAGGAATTTGCATAAGTAACAAGGAGCCAAATTCGAATCCCCAAGACAATGGCAAAAATGTCTCCAGGGCATGACAGAGATCTCTGTGGCAGCCCCTCCCATCACATGCCCTGAGGCCTCGGAGGAAAAAATGGTTTTGTGGGCTGGGCCCAGGGCCCCCCTGCAGTGTACAGCATAGGGACTTGGTGTCATTCATTCCAGCTACTCTAGCCATGGCTAAAAGGAGTCAAGGTACAGCTTGGGCTCTAGCTTTAAAAGGTGCAAGCCCCAAGCATTGGCACTTTCCACATAAGGTTGAACCTGTGGGTGCACAGAAGTCAAGAAATGAAGTTTGGGAACCTCCACCTAGATTTCAGAGGATGTATGGAAATGCCTGGATGTCCAGGCAGAACTTTGCTGCAGGGGTGGAGCCCACATGGAGAACCTCTGTTTGGGTGGTGCAGAAGAAAAATGTGGGGCTGAAGCTTTCACACAGAGTCCCCACTGGGACACTGCCTAGTGGAGCTGTGAGAAGAGGGCCACCGTCCTCCAGACCCCAGAATGGTAGAATCACCAACAGCATGCACATGTGTCTGGAAAAGCTACAGACACTCAACACCAGCCAGTGAAAGCAGTTGGGAGGGAGGCTGTACCCTGTAAAGCCACAGGAACTGAGCTGCCCAAGACAATGGGAACCCATCCCTTGCATCAATATGACCTGAATGTGAGACATAGAGTCAAAAGAGATCATTATGGAACTGTAAGATTTGACTGCCCTGCTGGATTTTGGACTTGCATGGGGCCTTTAGCCCCTTCATTTTGGTCAATTTCTCTCATTTGGAATGGGTGTATTTATCCAATCCCTATACCCCCATTATATCTAGGAAGTAACTAACTTGCTTTTGATGCTACAGGCTCATAGGCAGAAGGGACTTGTCTCAGATAAGACTTTGGACTGTGGACTTTTGAGTTAATGCTGAAATGAGTTAAGCCTTTGGGGGACTGTTGGGAAGGCATGATTGATTTTGAAATGTGAAGACATGAGATTTGGGAGGGGCTGGGTTGGAATGGCATAGTTTGGCTGTGTCGCTACCCAAATCTCACCTTGAATTACAGCTCCCATAATTCCCATGTGTTGTGAAAGAAGCTCAGTGAGAGATAATTGAATCATGGGAGCAGTTTCCCCATATTGTTCATGTGGTAGTGAATAAGTCTCATGAGATCTGATGGTTTTATAAAGAGTTTCCCCTTTTGCTTGGCTCTCATTCTTTCTTGCCTGCTGCCATGTAAGACATGACTTTGCTCCTCCTTTGTTTTCTGTTATGATTGTGAGGCCTCCCCAGCCATGTGGAACTGTGAGTCCATTAAGCCTCTTTTCCTTTATAAATTACCCAGTCTCTAATAAGTCTTTATTAGCAGTGTGATTACAGACTAATACACCTGCCTTCTTTTTTCCTACTATATATTGTATTAATGTGAAAAAAAACTCTTTAAATTTAAGAGTCAACCATTCAAATATAATGAATAATCCATACTTTTAATTTATAAATTGTATGCTTATTCAATTGCAAGAGGAAAAGTAAATATATCAATTGTGCATTATTTCCCTGGGGCATTTAAAATGATCAAAAAGTAAATTTATGTTCAATAGGATAGAAATCACAGCACAGCATCCATTGAAAATAATGATAATTGTTCACCTGCTTACCATTGATCACATGGAAACTTTTCCCCATTATGGTCATGAACTATATAAGACTTATCATTGATGTGAAACTCTTGTAATAGGCTGCTTTTCTGGGTTTAGTGTCTGAAATAAATGAACAAAGATATTATAAAATGATTTAATACCTAAATATTCATAGAATTCTTTAATAACACTTTATAAATATAGGAAAGGAAAAAACACAAATTTTGAATCAAAGAGCAATGCAGAAAAAGAAGAAATAAATTGTTAAACAAGTTAAAAGAAATAAAAAATTGCTAAGAAAAATAAAACTGATCATTTATTTTATGATTTGTTTAGTTGGAGCTTTCCAACTTAATTTTTTTTTCTATCCAAAGAAACAATGGAATATCAAGAAAAAAAGTACTGCAAGGAAAAACATGCACATACATAAATCAGGGTAATTTAAAAATTTTATTTAGACTATAACATAAAGACAATTGCAATTGTTTATTGATTTAACCTTCAAATTTGTCTGACTCAAAAAAAATTTATATTTACTTCTCTGGTATAATCTAATATTAAGTTTATTAAAGCCAGGATTTTAATTAGTTTGCCATGTTGTAGAGATGAGTTAAAATTTAAAGCAAGCAGAGCCCATTTTCTCCTCAAATGTTTCTTAAATTTCCTTGTTTCCTTATAACTTTTCTTCAGAAATAGAAGCTAATATGTCTGCAGCAAAAGTATCTAAATTTTACTTCACATCATACATATTATGGTTTCAAAAATGCAAAAAAAGTAGAATTTGTTCCAGTTTTCATAGACTTCCTGCTATGTTCTTAAACTTAGTATGATATAATTATATTAAAAATCTGGGTTGAGAAATCATCAATTTGAAAGCTGACATAATTCAAATATACATGACTTATAGGGCATTCTTTTTAATCAAGATTTCAGAGATTAGTTGGGTGTTTTGAGGTTTCTCACTATTACCCTCTCTGCCTTTCTTTTTAGTTTATAAGCATTTATTCATGCATTTAATTTTAATGCTTTTTAAGTTATAGAAAAAAGTCATTTTCTGACCCTAAGATTTTCTACTATATATACATATGTGCACATATATGTATATGTGTATATACATATATATACACAAAATATATATGTACATATATACATATGTGCACATATATGTATATGTGTATATACATATATATACACAAAATATATATGTACATATATACATATGTGCACATATATGTATATGTGTATATACATATATATACACAAAATATATGTACATATACACATATATACACAAAATATATATGTACATATATACATATATCTACAAATATGTATGTGAACACACGTGTATATTTATATGCATATATACACATATGTATATGGAATAGAATGTAATATATGTACATTATATATCGTGTATATATTACATATTATAAATTATATGTAATATATCTAATATACACGTATATATTATGTACATTTATAAATGTTCATTAATTTTGAGAAGCAAAATTGTGATTTATCTAAACATCTTTTTCATAACCTATTCATTTCAACTTTATTAATATAAATTTTGATAGACTTGCCTTGAAATCTTAGTATCTTGGACTGATTTGAAGGTAGTGAGTTATCGCAATTGATTACTCAGTCTGTTACAGGTCAAACTTTTTGTTCTATCCTTTCCCCTTCTCACTACTGCTCATGACTAGTCTTCTTTAAAAAATAATAACCTTAGTTTCTTGGGCACAGGACTACTGCATCCATCATCCTTCATAAGAGACCATAAAAAATCAGAAACCACAGTAAGTCAACATAAAGGATTCATTTCAGGATGCCTCATGTCATCATTTATAGAGGAATTCACTTTTGATTTAAATAATCCTATCTTTAATATTATATAGTTTTGTTATTGTTATTTTCATGGCTGATACTGAGTGAATCAGTATTCAGAATCCCTCAGAATTTTTGTCTTCTTAAGTTTCTAAATGTGTAGGGTCATTTGAATATCTCTTTGCAATTCCACTGACATTAACTAAGTCAAGAGGCTTGTCTTGTCATGCCTATTATAGTAAGACTATTAATAGACCCTGTGGTCTGCATGTTCTTGTCTTTCCACTCATCTTTTCCATCATAATCAATAATGAAGTCTTAAAATACAGTGTACATCACTAGCCATGTTTCGGTGAAAAAGTTCTTTGTAAATATATGATATTACCTAAATTTATGTAAACATATCACAATTGGGCCTTCCAATATACCTTCCAAACCCCTTTTCTACTATATTTCCCATGTACCTCACATTCCAAATTTTTCATCTTTTAGACAACTGCTAAATTCCTAAATTTTGAAGAAATAACATTGTGAGGTTATTCTGCTGTTATTTTGTTTTGTTTTATCATGGTAAAAACACTTACTGTGAGTACTACACTATCAACAAATTTTTATGTATACAATAGAGTATTGTTAACTATTTGTGCAATGTCATAAAGTAGGTCTCTAAAACTTAATCATCTTGCATAACTGAAACTTCATACCTATTGAACTATGTTTTATTGACTGACACACCCAGTGCACCTATTAGGATGCAATGTGCAGTAGTATAGGCAATAAATAATGGTTCATTCAATAATAATAAATACTTTCTACATTTCCATTCAGTCTCACTGAGTATCTTATTGTAGTCCATGTTACAGTACAACTCAAATGTTTGACTTAAAAAGACTTAAAGAATTTGAAAGAAATTTCTTGGTGGGGAATGCTAAGAAAAACATAACTCTTTTGGTTTTAATAAAAAATATTATTCCATATTACATTGAATGAGAGGATTTTGTCTGTTTTAAGGTATTTCATTTTTTAAGCTGATAACGTTTTAAATAAAAAACACTGTGTTCTTTTAATAATGATTTTGCTTAAACCCACCAACAAAAAGGTGTAAGGTAATGAGAAAAGATCACTCTTTTTGGAAATGTGATAAAATATTTCTAAAAGAACTTAGTACTTAAAAAGATTAATGTTACTTCCTTGAGTTAAAGCTTTTCTGTGCTTATGACCGGTGGCGGTGGCTCATGCCTGTAATCTCAGCACTTTGGGAGGCCGAGGCGGGTAGATCACCTGAGGTCAGGAATTCAAAAACACCCTGGCCAACATTGTGAAACCCTGTCTCTACTAAAAGTACAAAAATTAGCCTAGTGTGGTGGCGGGCAAGTATAATCCTAGCTACTGGGGAGGATGAGGCAAGAGAATCACTTGAACCCAGGAGGCAGAGGTTTCAGTGAGCCAAGATCGCACCACTGCACTCCAGCCTGGGTGACAGAGACAGAGCCTCCATCTAAAAAAATAAAAATAAAAATAAAAATAAAAATAAATAAGCTTTTCTGTGCTTATGGAAGACAGAACTTTGTTTTGTGGCATGCAAACCATTACATATTACAATCTATCACCACTTTCAAGGAGGAAATACATTACTTCGTAGTATCATCACTTAAACTTTGGTTTAATAAAAGTATGTGGTCCTTCAAAAACAGATTATCCTTTCAGAAATTAACACTTTTTAAAAAGTCATTGCTTTCTTCTGAACGTTTACTTTTCTTTAGCTTATCCTTTATATAAGGTAAATAAATTGAGATAGTAGGTATAATCAATGTATTGATGTCTTATCCTACTTTTTGTGATTGTTTTTTAATTAAAGATTTTCACTTCCTATGTACTCTTAAGAGACACTAACAACTTTAAGATAAAATAGAATCAACAAAGAATCAATATTAACTCGATCAGTTTAATTGTTCTTAGTTTATTACCTGATACAATATAGTCATCATTGTAGAAGAAATGATACCCTGGTTTAAAATGTGATAACCTAAATTGTATCATTAGCCCCATGTATATTTCTCTGAAATGTAGCACAGGTACGTATTAGTCCTTAAATATATGATGAACACGTTTTCAAAATTAGGAGACAGAGGAGATGAGAAGATATTATAAATGAGACAAATGTGTTTTATATAAGCCTAGAAAACCATGTCACATTAAAATTAGTCACATTCTCTCCTAGCTTACTATCAAGGCACTTCATGTTTTATTAAATAATTTCATTGCCTATACAACATATTTTTGTCTTAAAAGCATTCACTTTAAAGTTATTAGCTTGATGCAAAAGTAATTGCAGTTTTCACCATTAGAAGTAATGGCTCTTTAAATTGTTGCCATGTTATAATACTTAATATAAGCAAACAAAGCAAATTATAACAAAAAATATAAACAATTTCATTTATATACATTTAGTAAATTGAAGAACTATATAAATTTATGTATTTATTATTACAAATTAAATTTATAAATATTAAGTCTCATATTTTGATTTTTTTATTAAAAAGTATTCTTTTAAACTTAATTAAACATCTATTTTCATGCTTTATTTAATTCTAGGAGGAATAACAGAGACCTGGTTTTCTATTTTTGTCTCTGAAAGGAATTCTTTATTACTTTCCTCCAACATCAGCTATACCTGTCTGAGATAATAAAGTTTATTATTAAAATAAATAGTGTTCTTCCTGAGATCACTTGCTTTCTAAAATTTTTTTCTCTGCTGCCTTTATCTTGAGGAAAAAAATGTTTTCATTCTAAATCCCAATAGATCTTTCTCTTGCATAAACATCTACATCAATGCCTCAGTGATTCCCCTGGTGCCCTGATAATAGTACTCAGTTTCGGGGCAGGCATCAAAATGAGGAGAGAACTACTTTTGCAGTATTTGATACCATTTTCCTTACACTCAGCTACAATAAATAGCCTCTCAGATTTTTTTGAGATTTTTACATTGAATAAGTTTACACAAAGACTATCTTACATGTTTTTGGATCCTAACACCTTTCCATTCATTTGAATTGTTTTGATGTTTAAAAATCATGATGACCAGTATTGTCCAATAGCATAAATACAAGTGACATCTGGCCACTTAATTTAAACTTAAATTAAACAATATTAACTAAAGATTAATAATTGCTTCCTTGATCATACCAGGCACATTTGAGATGCCCAGTAGCTACATGTGGCTAATATAGCTACATGCATTAATAAACAACACAGATACAGAATTTACTTCACTGCAGACAGTTCTACTGAGCAGCACTGATACCAGTTAAGTGTGAATATGGAGTGCAAATCCTCCCTTTGGCATCTCACTACAGTTATGTAACTCAGATTTAATTTTCAATAACATAATTTTTTTAGTACTCTCATAATGGGAAAAACAAAAGTGATGGTAATGATAGCAAAAAAAAACTCCAAATGCAAGGAGAATCACGTATTTAATTGACTTCTTTCTCACTAGTTTTATGTGTGTGTTCTTCCTGCAAATTTGAGAATGTTCTACCAGTCTCCCAGCTTTATCAACCAAAGTTGTTATGACTGGCCTTTGCACACCAGTCACAGGACTCAATCTCCATTCCATGATTTTTAAATGTAAGTTCAGTTCCTATTTGTCTTCAACTGGCCTCTGTATGAAATCCTCATCCACTGGACTGACTATCCCAATCTCAATGCCTAAGGTAAAACATTGAAAAATTTCACAAGGAAGTCATGTTAAAGGAATGAGATGAATTGAGGTATCTTTGGAAATTATGTGTGGTTCTAATTCTTTTTTATCTCCTCCATATGGTAATGTGTGAGTTTGAAGCAGTTTTTGTATTGCTCAATGTCAGGCTGTCAGCTGTAACTTCTCAATGCCATCAGAATGTATTTAACAGCTGCCCCTCCCTACCTCCTCCAACTACTGGTTTGTGATTTCTAATCTGCAATAAGATAGAAAACAGATAAACCAGCTTTTTAAGATTTAGAGTCCAACAGAGCTCAGAGAGAGGGCTTGAGGGTCTCTTAATTTCAGAGATTCTGTGGTTCTGTTTAAGTTGCTCTGAGGCTGTGTACATTTGCACGTGTTCTATTATCTTTCAGAGTGTTTAAGGTGATGGGTATCTGACCTGGAGTCCAACTGGTACTTTACATGATATCCAAGTAAGAGCCTTAGAAAATAAAGTATGCTTAAATTCAGCAAGTTTGTTAGATCTTGTTCTTTAAAAAAATTACTCCAAAATCCCAGATGCTCTCAGTTATCAACAGAAGCTTAGAAGGATTATTAGTAATACTCCTTTATCATATGTGACTTCACTTTCAATTCCATATTCCCTTTAGGTTTGCAATGAAACCTCACGACAAATGCAAAACTGGCATTTACAGATGTATGAACACTCAACTTCAAATAGACTCCATTGTCCAAAGTCAAACACTTAACTAAAGAATGAAACTTTAATTCCAAACCAGATTTTTGGTAGATTAGGACTTGTATAGTTTTACAGTCTCAATTTGTTCCAGGATAAAACCCTAGGAGAATCAGAGTGATTTTATCATGAAGCCACATTTTATAGGACTGAATAGTCTAGATAAATGAAGTTTGTTCCATCGGGTGCTGATGATTCATTTTCACTTTTTTTTGTTTGTTTTGATAGAAATTCTTCCAAAAAGCACAGAGTACATTTTACTTCCTTCCCTAACAGAGGACACAGCACATAATGTAGTCGTTTTCTTCATGACTCATCACCATCATTATGTACCTCCATTCTTGTTCTGTGCTAAAACCACAGCACATTCTGCATATGCTTGGGAGTTTCTGTATCCCTCAATGTCAGACTGCCAGCTCCAACTTCTCAATGCTGTCAGAATACCTCTAACCACCCCCATTCACTACCTCCTCCCACATCTAGTTTGTTGCTTTTAATCTAACTGCAACTTCTAATCTACAGTAAACTAGAAAAATAGATAACCTATCTTTTTAAGATTTGCATTCCAAATAAAGCTCAAAATGGGATCCAGATGGCCTGCCTTAATTTCAGGGGTTCTGTAGCTACATTGATGTTGTTCAAATATTTTAATATGTTTCACTGTCTTCTAGAAAATTTAGAATGATGGGAATCTGACATGAATTAAAATACAGGTGATTTTAAATGTCTCATGCAATGTGTCTGCAGGTACACCACACAAAGATTTGTAAAAATATTTTAAATTCATTTTGTTGTGGTTATTATATTGAATATTATAAGGTAAAGCATTTTACATTTAGTTTACCAGTAAACCAGTTAAAGCAACATGATTTAATTAACCTCATCTTCTGAAATTTAAAATGAATAAAATACCTCTTAGGAGTAATATACTTGTTCTGTAATTTAAATTATATTTTAGTTGAATAAATCCTCTCACATGAATTTGCTCTTCAAAGTAAATGTGCTTTCAGATGACCTATGGATTAAGTCCTTTGGGAACATTTCACACCAAATTGTCTTTCCCATAGTTTGGCAAAAATTTGAAATGTTAAAAAACACTTAACTAAAGAATGAAGCTTGAAGTTCATATTCTAAAATATAAGTTTTCTGCTTTTTTCACTTTTATTATACTACCTAATTAAAACTAACATTTACCTCGCTGTGAAAATTCACATGTTAATGAAGTGCTATATATTCCATTTTGAAGAGATAATCACTGCTAACAATATTATCATAATATCAGATTTTTATAAATAGAAATTTAAACAGAAATGCTTCTGACTACAATTATAATTTTCTATTTATCTTTATCTATTGCTTAAGAATAGGAGAAAAAATTCACATATGCTTATTTATTTATTTAAAAGGAATGACTTCTCATTTGAATTGAAGGAGCAAAATCTTTGAGCAGAACTGTGTCATTTTTCACATCAGAAGCTTAGGTAAATCTTTCTTTGTTTTGAACCATGATCTCTCTCTTCAAGCTGACAAAATGAAATTCATGTGCCTGGATTGAGAAGTTTACCCCAGAAAGTATTATCCAGGTATAAGACTTGATTGCCTAGCGTATGTTATACAATGTGAGCTAATGGCCGGCACCCTCATCGTAAGGAAGCAACTGGAGAATGGCCATAAGGGGGACACATATTGAAGGGCATTTTTACCTTGACCTCACAGCTGGCCTCCAAATTAATGTCTGTAATTCTCTCTATGCAGGCAAAATGACACATTAAAAACAAACACAATCTGCTAATTAGTAGGAAAAAGTAAAGAGGATAGAGAGGAAGAAGTGCCTAGCAAAGATTGTCCTCATTTCCTCTATCCTTTCACTAAGAGGTGACCATTTCACTAAGTAGTTTTGCATGTGAAGACCAAGACTTCATTTCCAGAAAAAAAATGTTTAGATTTATTACCATCATACATATGTGGTCATCGATCAATTTTGAAAGCATGTATAAACAGATCGTTTGAATCAAGCTCAAAGTAAGTATTTGGTATTATCTTAGTATTTAGGGAGGGGGACTTAATGGAATTTTTTTTCCATCACTCCTACATATAAGGGCTCAGATTTAGGAAATTACTTTTATGTACTACATGTGGTGGGGTCTTCCTCTTTCTAGGAGCACATAACTGCACGATTCTGAAAATATTAACATTAGACCATCAACTCAGGCTCAAATTTAAGAATACTCCTGGCTATAGCTGATAAGGAAGGAAGAATATGTTGGGCTTTCTTTTATCGTGTTGTTTAGTCACACAAAAAAGAAAAAAAAGACTCTTTAAAATAAATTTTATAACAACTTAACCCAAATACAATTCTATCATAAAAACTGGCTGAACTGCGTCACAAGAATATACTAAATAAAATCCAGCATTAAATAATAGTATACACATATGTTTTACAAGTGTTAATGAACTTAACAATCACTTATAAATTATTTTGGATTACATTGGTAAAACCTGTATCAGTGATTTTCTATTAAGATGTTCAATGCAACAATTTTTAAAATGACTTTCCAAAGGTTGATAGCAAGAGCATATAGTTAGAACCATAGAATACAATCAAAGTCTATTATTCTGGGTAATAAATTACAAGCTTGGTTTGTATACATTTTTTCAATTGAACAGATTGTAAGAGATGAGAAGCAAAGATAGTATGCATGCTCAAAGTCTGGACTATGTTTAATATCTAGAATAAGAATAGCAAATACATAGAGAACTAGGATTTTTTAAGTCTCTTCCCTGTTTTCTTCCTACACATTGCTAAACTGTCATGGAATTCTATCATATAAACCTAAACAAAGCATTAAATCCTATTGTCTCAAGCTACACAGTGGAAAAAAAATTGCAAACCACTGATATGACAAATAACTTATGTTTTAAATATTTAAAGAGTTATGAAAATTCATAAGTTGAAACAATTAGAAAAAAAGATATGACAGATTAATTAAACAATGTTTAATACCATTAGCCAGTAAAAGACAGAAAAACACAACCATAATGAGATATCACTAGTGATATGGTTTGACTCTGTGTCCCTACCCAAATCTCATATTGAATTGCAATTCCCAAAGTTGGGGGTGGGACCTAGTGGGAGTTGATTGGATCATGAGGGTGAATGTTCCCCATGCTGCTCTCAGGATAGTGAGTTGTCACAAGATTTGATGGTTTGAAAGTGTGTAGCACTTCCTCCTTTGCTCTCTCTCTCTCTCTCTCTCTCCTGCCACCATATGAAGACAGTGCTTGCTTCCCCTTTGCCTTCTACCATGATTATAAGTTTTTTGAGGTCTCCCCAGTCATACTTCTTTTACAGCCTCTAGAACCGTGAGCCAATTAAATCTTTTTTCCTTCACAAATTACCCGGTCTCAGATAGTTCTTTCTAGCGCTGTGAGAATAAACTAATACAGAAAATTGATACCAGAGAAGCTAGGCATTGCTATAAAGATACCTGAAAATGTGGAAGCAAATCTGGAACAAAATAACAGATGTTGTAACAGTTTGGAGGGCTCAAAAGAAGACAGGAGGATTAGGGAAGGCTTGAAACTTCCTAGAGACTTATTGAATGGTTTTCACCAAAATACTGATATCTGTATGAACAATGAAATTAGGCTGAGGTGGTCTTAGATGGAGATGAGGAACTTATTAGGAATTGGAGTAAAGGTTACTCTTGGCCAAGCTTTAGCAAAGAGACTGGCAGCATTAAGCCCCTGCTCCAGAGACCTGTGGAACATTGAACTTTAGAGAGATGATTTAGGGTATCTGGCAGAAGAAATTTTGTACAGCAAAGCATTCAAGATGTGACCTGCTGCTTCTAACAGTGTACAATCATATGCATGAACCAAGACATTATCTGAAACTGGAACTTATATTTAAAAGAAAAGCACAGCATAAAAGTTTGAAAAATTTGCAGCCTGTCTATGTGGTAGAAAAGAAAAGAAAACATTTTCTGGGAAGAAATTCAAGCTGGCTGCAGAAACTTACATAAGGACCCAAATGTTAATGACCAAGATACAGGGAAAATGATTCCAAGGTATTGTGGAGACCTTTGCAGTAGCCCCTCCCATCACAGGCATGGAGGCCTAGGAGGGAAAAATGACTTCATGGACCAGGCTCAGGGCCCCACTGCTCTGTGCAGCCTCAGGTCATGGTGCCCTACATCCCAGCTGGTCTAGCTCCAGCCATGGCTAAAAGGGGCCAAGGTACAGCTCAAGCCATTTCTTCAGATGGTGCAAGTCCCAAGTTTTGGTAGCTTTCATGTGGTTTGGGTCTGCAGGGGTGCCGAAAGCAAGACTTGAGGTTTGGGAGTCTATGCCTAGATTTCAGAGAGTGTATGGGAGTGCCTGGATATACAGGCAGAAGTCTGCTGCCCAGGTGCAGACCTCATGGAGAACTCTACTAGGGCCATGTGGAGGGAAAATGTGGGGTCAAAGCCCACACACAGAGTCCCCACTGCGGAACTACCTAGTGGAGCTGTGAGAAGAGGGCCATTGTTCTCCAGACTCAAGAATTGTAGATCCACTGACAACTTGTACCACATACCTATAAAAGTTGCAGGCACTCAATGCCAGCCTGTTAAAGCAATCATGGGGGCTGCACCACACAGATCCACCAAAGTAGAGCTTCCCAAGGCATTAGGAGCCTATCCCATGCATCAGTGTGCCCTGCATGTGAGACATGGAATCGAAGGAGGTAATTTGGGAGCTTTAAGATTTAATGACTGCGCTGTTGTATTTCAGACCTGCAAAGGGTATGTAGCTCTTTGTTTTGGCCAATTTATCCCATCTGGAATGGAGGCATTTACCTCCAATGTCTGTAACTCCATTGTATCTTGGAAGTAACTAACTTGTTTTTTATTTTACAGGCTCATAGGTGGAAGAGACTTGCCTTGTCTCAGATGAGACTTTGGGCTTGAATTTTCGGGTTAATGCTGAAATTAGTTAAGACATTAGGGGACTGTTGGGAAGGCAAATGCTGAAATTAGTTAAGACATTAGGGGACTGTTGGGAAGGCATTATTGTGTTTCAAAATGTGAGAGGGACATGATATTTGGGAGGGGCCAGGGGAAGAATGATATGGTTTGGCTCTTTGTCCCCACCCAAATCTCATGTTGAATGGTAATTCCCAATAAGAGGTAATTGGATCATGAGGGCAGATTTTCCTCATGCTGTTCCCATGATACCGAATGAATTCTCATGAGATCTGATAGTTTGAAAGTGTATAGCACTTACACGTTCTCCCTCTCTCTCTCTCACTCTGTCTCTCTCGTTGTCATGTGAAGACAGTGCTTGCTTCCCCTTTTCCTTCTGCCATAATTGGAAGTTTTCTGAAGCCTCCCAAGCCATGCTTTCTGTACATCCAGCAGAACTGTGAGTCAATTAAACCTTTTTTCTTCATAAATTACCCAGTCTCAGGTAGTTCTTTAAAGCAGTGTGAGAAGGAACGAATACAACTAGTCATCTATAAGAATACCAAAAGTTTTAAAAAATAGTAATATCACTTAGGAAATGATGTCAAAATTGCAAAGAAACAACTACTAATATACTTTGGTTAAGAATGTAAAATAATACAGCCTCTGGGAAAGAGTATGGAAGTTTCTTACACAAGTAACAGTGTGGATTTCATACAATACAGTGATTGTATATTTAGCCCAGAGAAATGAAATGTATGATCATAAAAAAAAAGTAACAGAATGTTTACAGCAGCTTCATTTATACTATCCAAAAACTGAAGACAACCCAAACCTACCATATTAAAATAATTTTTAAAAATTGTGGCACATTTATACCAAGCAATATGACTCAAAAATAAAAAGGAATGTATCATTGAGGGACATAAAAACATAAATGGATCTCAAGGAAATGATACCTGAAAAAAGTCAACCTCAGAAGGCTACATTTATATAATATTCTTGAAATGAAAAAATTATAGAGATGGAGAAGAGATGAGTGGTTACCAGGGTTAGGAAATTAGGAGGTGGCCATGGTTACAAAAGGGTAGCATAAGAGATTATTGTAAGAGAACTGTCTTGTATTTTGACTGTGATGGCAGTGACACAAATCTACACGTGATAAAATTGCACAGAACTAAATACCCACACATACACACACAAGTGCAAATTAAACTGGTGAAGTCTGAATATGTTTGGTGAATTATATCAATGCCAATTTCCTGGTTGTGATATTGTACTATTTGGTTCCAAAAAATGTTACTGTTGGGGAAAATTGCGTAAAGGGCATTTTGCATTTTTCTGTATTGTTTCTTACAACTGCATGTGAATCTACAATTATCTCGAAATTGAAAGTAATAAAAAATTAAATAAATAAGGTTTTGTGACCCAGAATTATAGGTTATTTCAACCAATTAACCAGAGTTAGTGCTAAAGATAAAACTACAATCTAGTGGCGGGGACAAATCAAAGAGAGGCAGATAAATTTTTAGTCCATGTGCATAATGCTAACGGTTTAAGAGTTTGCATTTTTTTACTTTGATACTGAGGAAAGTACCTTTAAAAATTGGTGAGAAACTTTCCTTACCAATTAGGTATCAGTAAGTGAAACAGCTAAGCCTTTCAATACATACATTTTTCGATTATTAAGTGTATAAAATGGAAACAACAATACCTACAGCATGGTGTTGTCATGGGTATCATAGAAAATATATAATATAAAACATATAAACAAAGACACCCATATTAAAAAAATTAATAAAGTTTTTATTTTCATTATTTATATCACAGCCACAAGGCATAAAGGAGTTCTAATGATTGGATGTATGAATTAGGCACTAATACACCCAGTTACAAAGAGGACACAAAGCAAAGTAGGTAAAAGAAGAAACCCAGTAACTAGAGTATAGGGCAAGGGAAGCACAGCATTAAAGAGAATAAATTTTGAATCCAGGAAAAAAGAAATCCAATATAATGACAGCAATACCAAAACCAGATCATCAAGATTGGCCTGTTAAAACACCGAGATATTTGTTGGTTTTATCTTTCTCTATCTATGACAAAAACAGATTTCCAAGTGTTGGTCAAGCCTGAACATAGATTGATATTAAAGTTTCTAACATAGAACATCAGAGAAAACACAGTTTAAAGGAGGTAATAAATTGTCATAGATTTCTTTGTGCAAAAACAGGTATGGTAAAATGTTAGTATAACTTTGATGTCAAAGAATAAAAGTAACATCCAATATAAGCTTTCCATGTATAATGAGAATGCAATATGATATGGATTATAAATGAAGGTAACTATATTTATAACAGAAATTTATTGATGTTTATCATTTTATATATGCCTTCATTAAGGATGTGTTTGCTATAATTTTTAGATATATATTTTTAAATTATAAATGTATTGGAATTTATATGAAGATACTGAATTGTCTTCCATTGTTTCTCAAGTTACAACAAGAATGAAATTGGTTAAGGAAATATAAAGACATATGCACTGGAATTTACATGTCTGGAACTTCAACTTCCCTTCGTTCTTACCAGACTTTTAATAAGACCAAAGTTTTTTCTAGTTTTGGCTAAGAAGCCTAAAAATGAAGTTCATTTAATTCATTACAAAATTACGATGCTAGAATAATTATCCCTACACGAAGAACCTTTTATTCAAATCCTCCCTAAATTAATACTTGATTTTGCTTATTTATTCATCTATTTTGTGTTAAATATAATACAACATGAAGAAACATTATGAAAGTCTCTTTATTTAAGATGGGACTATCAAATAGCACAACAAAGCATTGTATTTCCTTCTTGACCTCTTATTCAAGAGTAAGATTTTATTACAGTATCATTCCTTGTGCATATATATACATATGTGTGTGTATATATATGTCTGTATATATATGTGTCTGTATATATACATATATATGTGTCTGTGTGTATGTGTGTATATATATATGTATGTATTTACTTTTGGAAAATAAACAGATGTGACAGCAAGTTCTCTCCTCTGAACTCATCTTGATACCTCTAATTATTACTTGCTTGCCAATCACTGGCTCAAGGGAAACATAATATGCCATTCGATGTTTGATATGCATTCTGTCATACAGTAAGTATACCCCATGTTCAGGAAAAGTCTCCTCTTGACTAAAGTGTTGAAAAAATAAAAATTTGGAAGCTGGTCAGTTTCTGCATTTGGAAAACTACAGGGATTTTGGCAACAATTGATATGAGCTAGTTCCTCTGATATGTTATATTAGACAATCTTTGAGATGTCTTTGTTCTTGCTTTGTGTTCAGCAAATTCTCCAGCCCTACTTATTTTTATTTACATTTGACATGGGATACAGGAAATATTTTATTTATTTTGTTGTACTTGATACGTAATACTTGCAGATATTTATGGGATTCAGTGTAATGTTTTGATACAAATATACATTGTTTAATAATCATATCATTGTATTAAGCATATCCATCACCTCAAAATTTATTTATTCTTTGTGGATAGAACCTTCAAAATCCCCTCTTCTAGTTATTTTGAAATACCCATGATAATATTGTTTACTATAGTCATCTTATTGTGATATAGAACACAGAATTTTTTTCCTCCTATAACTATAATTTTCATCAATCTCTTACTATCATTCCTTCTTTACAGCCCACTTCAACTTCAGTTAGCCATTATTCTATTCTATGCTTCTATGAGATCCGGTTGTTTAAATTCCAAAAATGACTGAGATCATGTGGTATTCCTTTTATGTCTAGCTTTTTTCACTGAACATCATGACCTTGTAGTTTATCCATGCAGCAACAAATGACAGGATTTCACTTTTTTATGGCTGGGTAGTATTTTATGGTGTATATATACCACATTTATACTGTGGCTCAAATCACTCCAAATTATGAATATTTAGGGTTTTCTTTGATACGTTTCACTCACTACAAGAATGAGTGGGTCCTTTGTAAGTCTCTTTTCCCCAATGCCAATTTATGTATTTTGAAATATTTCATAGGGAAATACTTGTATTACTTAAGAAATTATGCATACTCAGTGATTAAAATTAGAAATAAAAAGATACAAAAATTTACATTGATGAAAAAAGTTGCTGTTTTCTTATATTCTTTTCTTAAATACTTCATTAACATTGTTCTGCTATATTTATTATATTTTCAATTAGATTTCATATTGGTAAATTATTTTAAATAGCCACTTTATTGTGTTTTTTGATACAAAGCATTCAAGAAGGATATCCACAGATGTTACCACTGTTGTGAGTTCACAGTCTTTGGAATGTTTTTCTGAAATAAGAAAACCAGGGCCTAGGGGAGGAGATTTGCCAATTCTGTGGGCCTTGCCTCAGGACAGTACATCTGCCAGGAAACTGAAAATCTCATATACCCTGTCAGGGAGTGGAACTTTTAGATGCTGTTTCAGAAAAAAAGGAAGAAAAAGTATAGTATAGCTGCATAATTCTTCTATTTTTTTCTTATTATTAACAATTGGGTTTAAAATGTATGTCAGATAAGTAAAATTTATATCTCAGTTTTTAAAAACACATGATAGAAAAGTTTTCTTCATCCATTACAGGTTATTAAATTCAAAAGGCATAGTTTCTATAGTCCTCCTTAAATGTTTCTTTGTTATGCATTGTATTTTACTTTGTAGGTTGCTCTTTTGCTTTTCCAAATTGTCAGTTCCTTTCCATTTCATAGGTCATTGCCATTTCAACCTGTTAATTTGTTACTATTAAAGGTTTTTGGACATAAGATTATATAAGAATAACCAATTTATGGTAAAATTGGAATTTAACATTAAGAAAATAATTTTAAAATATTAAAGAAGTGCTAAAAATACAACTTTGAATAGATCCCACAGGAATCTTTTCAAATATTACCTCATTAATCAGTGACTGGTTGAACAAGCAATATTAAATATAACAGAAATAAACTGATAAATGACACCTTTATTTAGAACTAAATATCATTTATCCTGAACTTTATTATATTATTGTTTATAGTAAGAAAGCTGTTTAGAGATGTTATATTTTTTAATTTAAAAAGAAAACAAAACAAACCAATGCAGTCACCAAAGCTGTCTAGTTTACTCCCATTTAGTTTCTACTTTAGAAAAATGCAGTAAACTATTCAACCAGTCAATTAACAGTTATTGAATTTTTATGCTGCGTAATGAAACCTCTCAGGCATCTTACACTACAGAAGGAGGAATAAGAAATAGATATAATGAGGTGTGAGATAAATTAAGATAGAAAATATTAAAGGTCTTAAACTGATATGATTCTAGCAGAATGCAAAATAGGAAAAAGACTTTTACTATGTAAAACTGTGAGAAAAGATATCATAAGTCAAAATTTATATCATATATTTCTGAAAAAGATAAATAATACATATATGTTGAATTAAAGAAGATACAATTCTGGGCTGAGGAAATAGTACAAAAAATGGTACAGAGACATGAAAGTTTTAGGAAATAATGGTAGGGTATAGATTGAATGATACAGGATTATAAAGATACAATAATTTCATATTTTACAAGCTGAAGGGCTAGGAGGAGGATGTTACAATTAACTAAAATAGGAAACAAAGGAGGAGAACAAGCATCTGAAGGAAATGAATGACTCATACTTTCCATTACACTGAATAAGATAATGATTTTTATTTTCTATTCAGCCCCAGACAATTTATGCACATACACATGACTATATGGCTATGTCTAAAATGTGCATTTATGATGAGTGCCATTTTCTTTCATCTTATAAAACAGCAAGTGCAGTTAACAATTTAGCCAAAATAAACACTGAGAATTTTCTTTGATCTTTCCTTTCTGAGTCTGAATAAAAAATTATAATCTTTTATTGAGAATACTAAATTTTTCAATTTTTTCTCATATTCTACTCATCTTTTCTCATATTCTACTCATCTTTTGTCAACCAGCCTGCACAAACAGACCATGATAGAAAGAGCCAACGTATAATAATCCTTTACACAGTATGTGAAATTCTGCTATTTTGCTATCATTTTATCTGAAAATGCAGATAGAATGCTATGCTATTTACCTGTTTAAACATTTGAATATAAGAATATAACAGATGTAAGAAATAAATTCAAATTAGATAATGTTTTCTCCATAATTGAATCGTTATTTTTTAAAAGTATGCAATAAATAATTAGAACCTAAACATTTTGTGACAGTTGGGCATATGAGTGGGAGATTCTTTTCTTGAATAGCTGTTGTCCTACAGAAGTGAGAATGATCACCTTTCTTTTTATTATTTAACCCTGTGGTGAGTCTAGGGCATTAATCCCTTGAATCGTACTGTTTTTTTTTTTCATTGATGCATTAAGAATTATTAAGAACAAGGCAGGAATAGATATGTGAGTTTCACAAATGGTAAACATAAATGTGTCCAAGAGATAGAGGAACATCTAATAACATAGGATAGGATAAAGTAGCTCTGCCATCAAATTCACTTAAGTCAGCCTGCTAGCTTCATTATATTATGAAGTGTGAATTTGAGAAAATTTGTAAACCTTCCCATGCCTTGTTTGCCTTACATATTAAGCAGGATAATAATATCTATCACACACTATTATTGGTAGAATTAGAGATATTATGTATAAAATTGTTTTTAGTTAATTCAGAGCAGATTTTCAGAACCTGAACCCATCAAGGATAGAAAACTCAATGTTCTAATCACATAAACCCTCTAAATAGTAACAACATTAAAAATGAAAATGCAAGACAGGAAAAAAATGAGCATATTAGAATTAATGTGGACATTATTTTTAGAATTTCTTTCTTAAAGGCTGCTTTCATTATTGTATCTCCACCAACCTAAAATAGGTAATCTATTATTTATGTCTACAATATGGATTTACTTTATTTCCAGAAGTGCTAAATGTACTTCCCAAAAGTTCAGTCAGGTAGATCTGATTATTTTTTTTCTGAACATACCATGTGATTTCCTGATGAAATGCATTTATTCAAGCTATTTTGCGATTTGGATGGCACACTATCTTCAGTGCAAAATTTTTTTTAAATGACCAAGACAAAAATGTGACCATTATTATGATGTCTTTCTGTGTATTCCTGTTTACACTGTGATCATCCTTCTCTGAACATTTATAGCATTATATATTTTTTTTTTGCTACAAAACCACATCTTCACAGGTTATGTCTGTTGAAATGTTTTCTTATGTTACTGAATAACTCATTTTTAAACTCTTTATATGTATGTGTGTTCTCTTTACTGACTCAAAAATGAGTTTAACCAATTACTACCAATAGGTGACTTTGGGCAATTATTTAATATAGCTATCCATCAAATTTTATAAATTAGAAAACTGAGACCAAGCAAAAAACTAGATAACTCACTCAAGTTCATATATCCCAACATACTAGGATTTAGACATGCCTATTTGTCTGAATTGAACCTAAAACTAGTGCATTTTCAATCTATCATTGCCTGTTAGTAAAAGAAGGAATTTAAAAGTGATTATTTCTATATAAATTGCTTAATTCTTCAATTTTTCTAAATAAAGCATTTTGATGGATTACCACTCTAAGACAAACTACTCAAAGTGCTTGGTGGCTAATCAGGAATATTTCACAGAAAAGATTGCTTTACAATCTTACAATTCTGGAGAAAATATTTTTTTGTGTGCAGCCCATACTGAAACCAGATGCATAATTAAATGCTGAAGAAAGTATTGTGCATCCTTTTGTCTAGGAACATGTGTAAAGGAATTGGGGAAGTGAGACAATATTACGTCACTTTTTCAATCTATACCAAAAAGAAGACTATCTCTAAATATATATTTTTAATGAGAGAAGAATACATTCCTACATCTGTTCAATATGGTTACCACTAGCCACAGTGGCTCTTGAGCACTTGAAATGTAATGTTTCTGAATTGAGACATATTTTATATAATATAATACAAAGACTTAGTTGAATATATATATATATATATATATAATGCTTCATTAATTATTTTAAAATTAGGTTACATGTATAAATTATAATAGTTTAGGTATGTTGGACAAATAAATTACATTAGTAAAATTTATATTACATGTTTGTTTTACTTTTTAGGTAATGGTGTTGCCCCACAGACTTTTCCAGATTTCGAGTATTTTCTCCTGTATGCATATTTGTTGGAGGTATTTTTTTCTGTCATGAGTACTGCTATAACTCATAATTTGTAGCAATAGATAAAATATTTTAAAGCACTAGCAAATCCCTTAAAATTCAACAGTTTAGAAGTAATCAAAATAACATTTTTCTCTATTCTGAAACTACTATGTTAGTTCTAAAAGACTTGCCTTTCATTGTTGTAACCTCTTGAATGTTATTTGAATTGTTTTCCAGAGTTCAGAAAGATTGCTCGATAGAGTGTTTATAATATCAGAGTCTCCCAGGCTACATTATAGAGGAACATGTGCCAGTTTCCTTGGCTTTGACTGCTGGAGCTCAAGAGAAGACTTTAATAGCAATATCCAGCAGTCTTAAGTAAGTGTTACAGTAAAATTCCACCTGAAAGTAAGAATTATGTAACATACAGGAGCTTGTAACATAATTATCTGAATGAGTTTTCTACCAACATAATATTATATTCCCACCAATATCCTGGATTTAGAATGAAAATACAAACAAGCTTCAAAGAGACTTATCAAAAACAAAAAACATGCTCCACAATTTGCAACTGAATGTGTTTTAATGCAGCATTGTATGAACAACATACTTAACAATGCTTTAAAACACTACTTCACCCAGTATTTTTATTCAAAAAAGTGAAATAAAATAAAAATAGCAAAATGTTCACAATAATATTAGGCGGTGCAAAAGTAATTGCAGTTTTTTCCGTTAAGAGTAATGGAGTTGCACTTTCATTAAAATGTAATAGATGTACATTTTATTTCAAAACAGAGGTTAAAAACCATTATAGAGCTCTCTCTGAAGATCAGTGTGGCTAACTGCCCCAAATCCTGGGTTCATGGCAGCTTTTTTCCAATAAATCATACAAGCTCTCTCTAGAGAAAATGTATTTAGATTAAGTGTGTTAGAAATGAAAGATAAGAACATAATTATTCCCTAAAAAGTAAAAAGAAGAGTAAGACCTTGAAAGGAAACCCCAAGGAGAAGAGTGGAGCAATCTTTTAATCCCAAGGAGCAAACTGGTGTAGAGAGAGGGGAAGTAGGCAATAAAATATATTTTTCAACATTTTTCAAGCAGGAGTCAAAGGTAGATTAGCTCTACATAGTTCCACGGATGGCTTTTATTTCTTTAACAGATTATTTTAAGAAATGTTGCACCACCAATGCTTTCGTAAAACAAAAAATTATATTTTGTAAATGATATAAACATCAACTAGTTTAAGCCAAAAATACAATAAAGAATTAAACTCTAAAAGTGAAGAAATCTTAGGAATATCTTAACCAGATTATTTAATTTATATTTTGTGTATGTTTATTCTTAAATTTTGTCTATTCTCTCTTTCTTTTTTTATAAATATCAGATAGCAAAAATAATTTCTGGCTTATTAAATCTAAACACCAGCCAATAATTACCAAATATAAAGCTATTATAAAAAAGCACTATGTCAACATATATTTTTCTTTTTGAAAGTACATAACACTAGAGGGTATATTACAATCACTGAAAAATTTAATCTAATTAAATGTAAGCACATACATTGTTTTTTATGCCAAAATTACTTATCTATTGTATGAATTATTTCATATGCATTTGATAAAGACAGACTATTTTATTAAGTGGTAATTGCCTTATTTTATAAACCACATTTATCAGACAATATTTGAGGTTACCAAGAAACAACAGTTGAAAGTAAACAACCCTAGGTCAACTGAAGTAGAAAACAGTGGCCTTCATCCCACCGTCTTCCTTTTGACATAGTTAGACCTTAGGCTCTGACTTTGATGGATTATTATTCAGCTTTCCCAACCATTTACTATAATATTTCTTATCACTGTTTTGCTGAAACCTTGCAAAACAATCCTAATAACCAATGGGAAACTTTACAATTCACCTGTGTCCTTGTAAAATCATATCAAAATATTTATCAAGATAAAATTTAAAACTTTTGTCGTACTGTTAATTACAAGATTATACACGAATAAAAATAGTAAAACATTTTTACTTAGTACTGAAATTTAATGAAGATGGGATAAATGTCATTATACTCTGACTTATTGAAAATTAAAGGGCTCTATTTCTGGGTTTACAGTAGCTTGGATAGTGCTTACCTTCTTGTTGGTCATATAACTTACATGGTGTGTCATTTCCATGGCTAGGCCAATAGTCATACTCCTTTTGAAGTTCTTATTATCTTCCAACATTTTGTCCTTTCAGCTTTCAATGTCATAAAAATCTCCTAGTGTTTCTTTAATGTGAACTTTGTTGCAGCTACCAGTCCTCTGAGACATTTTTATTATTTTCATTATAACCACTTTATTTATGCATGTGGGTAAATTTACCTTTACTAAGTTTCTCCAGCTGCATATCTAGTTTCTCCAAATGGAGACAATATCAACATTTTTGCAATTAGCTATTTCTTTTGTAACTTCATTCTATTCGAATTTCATTTCTAGACATCAAGTTTCTTTGCTGCACTTTCATCTTGGATGATTAATGTTGTCTTTTGATTATCTGTTTTTGTAAAATTGTATGACGGTTTTTCACTGAGAGACAAAAGTGCAACATAATACAACTACAGCTTTGTGTCTAGATGTGAAATGAATAACGGATGAGCAGTGGCCAATCACTGACATATTCAAAAAGAATTGACTCAGTAGTCATTGATAATGAAGTAAATGCATCAGTTATTTACATAGTGATTAGTAGAATAACAAGCTAACAGCCAAATTTGTACCTTCTGCAGTTCTTCACAGAAAATACAGTGGGACTTCCAAAATTGAAACCAAGTTGTTGGAGGGTTGATGTTATTTAACTAAATCATGAAAACTAAAACTCATTAATATCAAAACTATGCAAACCAAGGATAATCTATGTTACATCACAGTAGGAATACTTATATCAGCTGACTAATACAGGCATGCCTCATTTTATTACACTTCCCTTTATTGTGCTCAGTAGATTTTATGCTTTTTACAAATTGAAGATTTGTGGCTACCTTGAATCAAGCAAGTCTATTGGTACAATTTTTCCAACAATGTGCTCATTTTGTATCTTGTGTCGCATTTTGGGTATTCTTACAATATTTTAAACTTTTAAATTATTATTTTATATGTTATAATGGTCTGTAATCAGTAATCTTTATGTTACTATTGTAATTCGGGGGAGAGGGGCACTGCAAACTGTGTCCATAAAAGCAAACATAATTAAATGTTTGACTGCTCCATTGAATGGTCCTTTCTCTTTCCCTCTCTCTCTCTCCTCAGGCCTGCCTTTTCTCTGAGACAAAATAATACTGAAATTAGGCCAATTAATAACCCCATAATATCCTCCAAGTTTTCAAGGGAAGAGTCACATCTCTCACTTTAAATCAAAAGCTAGAAATGATTAAGCTTAAGTGAAGAAGGCATGGAGAAAGCCAAGAATGGCCAAAAGCTATGCCTTTTGTATAAAGCAGTTAGCCAGGTTGTGAATGCAAAGGAAAATTTCTTGAAGGGAATTAAAAGTACTACTCCAGTGAATGAATGAATTATAAGAAAGCAAAACAGCTTTATTGCTGATGTAGAGAAATTTAAGTGGTCTGGATAGAAGATCAAACCAACCACGATATTCCATTAAGCTAATACTTAGTTAGAGCAAGGCCCTAACTCTCATCAATTCAAGAAAGCTGATATAGGTGAGGATGCTACAGAAGAAAAGTTGGGAGCTAGCAAAGTTTAGTTCATGAGGTTAAAGGAGAAAAAGTTATTTCCATAATATACAAAGTACAAGATGAAGCTGAAAGTGCTAATGTAGAAAATGCAGCAAGTTATCCAGAAGTACCTAAGATTATTGATGAAGGTGGTTAGACTAAACAACAGATTTTCAATGTAGACAAAACTGCCTTCTATTGGTAGAAGAAAGCTTCAAATGACAGGCCAACTCTCTCATTAGGGGCTTAATGCAGCTGCTAACATTGACTTGAAGCCAATGCTCATTTACCATTTCAAAAATTCTAGAACCCTTCAGAATTATGCTAAGTCTACTTTGCCTTTTCACTATCAAAGAAACAATAAAGCCTGGATGACAGCGCATCTGTTTACAGCATGCTTCACTTAATATTTTAAGAGTAAAGTTAAGATATACTCCTCAGAAAAAAAATATATTTCTTTCAAAATATTACTGCTCATTGACAATGCACCTAGTCACCCAAGGGCTCTGATACAGATGCACAAAGAGATTCATGTTGTTTTCATGCCTCATAGCACAACATCCATTCTGGAGCCTATGGATCAAGGATTAATTTCAAATTTTGATTCTTATTATTTAAGAAATACATGTCATAAGGCTATAGCTGTCACAGATAGGGATTACTCTGATGCATCTGGGCAAGGTAAATTGAAAAACTTCTAGAAAGGATTCACCAATCTAGGTTTCATTAACTACGTGTGTGATTGATATGAGGAGGTCAAAATATCTACATTAATAGGAGTTTGGAAAAATTTGAGACCAAATCTCATGAATGACTTTAAAGGGTCCATAATTTAAGAGAAGTGGGTAGCTGCAGATGTGGTCTAAATAGCAGGAGAAATAGAATTAGAAATGAATCCTTGAGATGTGATGGAATTACTGTCATCTCATGAAAAAACTGGAACAAATGAGGAGTTGCTTCTTATGAATGAGCAAAAAAAAATGTTTCTTGAGATAAAGTCTACTCCTGGTGAAGATGTTGTGATCATTGTTGAAATAAGAACAAGGGATTTAGAATATTTTATAAACGTGGTTGATAAAGCAGCAAGAAGGTTTGAGAGGATTGACTCCACTTTTGAAAGAACTTATACTGTGGCTAAAATGCTTTTACACAGTATTGCATGCTACAGAGAAATGACTTGCCAATTTATGTGACAAACTTAATTATTGTGTTATTTAAGAAGTTACCACAGCCACCCCAACCTTCAGCCACCATCTCTCTGATCAGTCAGGGGCAATCAACAAAAAAACAAGACCCTCCACAGCAAAATGATTATGACTTACTGAAGGCTCAGATGATCATTAGCATTTTTTAGCGATAAAGTGTATATATATATATATATATATATACATATATGTGTGTATATATATATATACATATATGTGTGTGTATATATATATATATATATTTTTTTTTTTTTTTTTTTTTGAGACAGAGCTTCGCTTTTGTTGCCCAGGCTGGAGTGTAATGGCACGATCTCGGCTCACCGCAACCTCTGCCTCCCGGATTCAAGTGATTCTCCTGCCTCAGCCTCCTGAGTAGCTGGGATTACAAGTGCCCACCACCATGCCCGGCTATTTTTTTTTGTCTTTTTAGTAGATACAGGGTTTCACTATGCTGACCAGGCTGGTCTCGAATGCCTGACCTTCTGATCAACCCGTCTTGGCCTCCCAAATTGCTTTAACATAATTACACTGTTTTTTAGACATAATGTCATTGCGTACTTAATAGACTACAGAATAATGTAAACATAACTTGTATATGCGTTGGAAAAATATTTTGTGTGACTCACATTTTTGTGATATCCATATTATTGCAGTGGTCTGGAACCAAATACTCAAAATCTCTAAAGTATGCCTATATACAATTGTTTATCATTTTAAAATAATATTATTTTTAAAATAAGTCTTTGCAGAAGTAACTGTGTTAAGGATATTGAGATTCAATCATCCTTTTTAGGATGGGTTACATAAATCCAATGGCAGGTGTCCTTATGAAAGAAAAGTAGAGAGATGTGAGACACAGAGACACAGAAGAGAAGACAATGTAAAAAGCACGGCAGAAATCTTATGCTTGTATATTACTTCTCTTACTTCTGCTTGATGAAAATACTCATTAAGAAGAAATAGATTGAAGTGGAGAGAAACTATCAGAAAAAAGCTAATGCCCCTCATGTGGAAATCGTTATGTGAAGTGCTAAGAATTCAGAATACACATCCAATGATACTCTAGTGTAGAGCTATTTGGTTCAACTCCTGTACTACTTACACAATTCTCCTTCTTCTCTTTGTATTTTGAGGCAGTAGCAGTAATTTGGAAACTACTTTTTAGAAATTAAAACCATGTTGAATTGCCAGAATCTAATTCAAATATTTTACTACCTATTACTATTGATTAATTAAGGCTGCATATATCTTCAGAAATATAGATTATTTTTAGTTCTGTATTTATATTAGCTATATTGAAATATTAATTTTATTATTTGCCAGTTTGGTTCCTATAAAGAATATAACTTAAAATACTCATAGATATGAATTTGAAGATTATTTTGAGATTACAAAAACAATCCATAGGTCTCAAGACAAATGGTGCAAGTAATGAACAGAGCTGCACAGAGCATGCATGGATAAGCATTTCTAAGCATGTAAAGCTAATTATATATGTAAATGTATACATATGAGTGGTACACTCTTATAAACACAAAAGACAGTGGACTTGGTGCAGGTACAAAAGGGAAACAGGTGCCTAATTTTTAATTCCATTTATTGTATCACATCTGCTGTTAATTATTTTACTTTCAGTAAATTACAAATGTCTAATGTTGGTAGTAAAAAAAGTATATTTTATTACTCTTACTGCTATATGTTTTAAATCTTATCTCTTAGATAAAACTAAAATTTTTCTAGAAATGGTAGATTAAATGTCTAATAATATCAATAGTAATAAAAGGACCATATTCCCTGAATCATTATAAGAGCATTATGTACAATTAGTCATTGCTCTTTATGAAAACTCTATAAGCCTAGTATAATATCAAGCACAGTTGACAGATTAAGAATCATAAAGAGGAAGCTATGTAACTGATTTAATTAATGCAGTTAGTAAGTGGCAGTCAGTATTTGAACCCATGACTTCTGGTTTCAAGGTCTGGGCTCTTGAACTTGCATCCATAAAGATTTAGTCTAAAGATCCACCTTTCCCTCCACTGCTAGAATTGAAACCAGATCAATAATGAGATTATATTTCCAGCTCTAAGTCTTCCATGTCCAGAGCACCACAGAGCCACAATATCGCAAGCTGAGTGTAATATGTCTTCTGCTGAGCAGATGACTATGTTACTGCTGAGCAAAAGAAACAAAAACACAAATGAACAGGCTGATATTACTTGTAGAAAAGTGGAAATCCATAAAGTTAAAATGGACCATTGATTTTGTGGACTATTGTTTGCTGGAGGTATCTTCATTTGCTTTATTTATTTAGTTTATCGTTTCTTAATCAGGTCTAAAGTGTTTTGGATATATCAGAGATCTATAGCAGATTACTAACAATCTTAAAATGTTTTTACTTTCTATCAGATGCTCCTTGTTCATTTGCTAAACGTGAGTCTTTCATATATCCCTACCCAACTAGAGTTGCGAGTTTTAGCCAAACCCAACGAAACAAAGAAAAATCATTCTGTTTTTTATATAAACACATGAATATTTATAGTCTAAAAATTGAAGTAATGGGCCTTGAGTTATTGTTTATTAAAATTTTATTACTAAGAATCTGAAACTTTATATTAACATTTTAAGCATTGCTTATTAAGTTCATTAACGTCGCATAGAATATGTATTTCTAAGTTCAATTAAATTCTCATTTTAAGTAAGCAAACTTTTTTTTAGTTTATGTGTGTTACATGCGATATTTAGAACACATGTATACTAAAACATTGATGAGTTAATCTAAAATTTAACTTTAACTGATCATTCTATATGTTACCTGGCAACTGTACTACTCAGTCCAACATAAATTTGTGGGGCTATCAAGAAAGTCACCCTGAATCTAAATGTAAAGAATAATGCTTTTGGTTCATTTCAAAATTTGTAATTTACTAGTCATGTGTGCCCTTGCATCATTTTACCCATTTGAGACTTTGTCCCATTGGTAAAAAATGGAATCATGAGATGCCCCTCTCCCCAACCTGGCAATTGAAGAAAATATGCTAAAGAAATAGTTTAAAGAAAATGTAAAATTTTATAGGTAGGAACACAAGAGTACTTATGTTTTCAATTTACTTTATACAAAATAACATTTACAGAAAGGGATACAATTTTCCATCACACATCTCATATTATTGTTGACAGTGGTCTTTAACCACATGGTACTTAATTTGCCCATGAATCAACAGTGGCTAATAAGTTTTGAATAATGAGAGTTAAAGCACTGACTCCTCTCACACAGTTGGGGTGACCATTAGTAAATGCCCTCTAAATAATTGTCATTATTATATTTTTAAAAGAAGCTTGATATTCTTTTTCCCTCAAAATGCAGTTATGGCACAGAAGATGATATCTTAATATTTGCCTGAGAAAAGGTTTTTTTCTGAAACTTAGAAAAAAACCCTACATAATTACTGAAGAAATCTATACCAGCAAAGATATGCTAATTGTCATACTACTGTAAATTATAGTATGCTTTATAAAAGATAATTTTCCTGACTATGAAACACATTTTTACCATTAAAATGATTTCTGACTTTTACCCTGCTATTATAAATTTGTGAAAATGGTTCTGCCAGACGTCCACACAGTGGCAAATTGGAATCCCACGGGAAATGATCTTTAAATTAAGAAACTCTCAGTATGTTCCAAGTTTCACTTAAAGGCCTGGGAATTTCTTTGTAGTGTGTGATAAAGGAAATCACAAATCTTTTAAAACATCTGGATTGAATTAAAACTATTAATGAGAGAAATGTATAATAAGTACATTCTATGATGTTTAATTACATCCACCATGTTTTTATTAATTCTTTCAAAAACTATCTGTGGAGACATTCCTATGTGACAAGCATCATGCTAAATGCTGTAGGAAACAAAAAGAAAATTAGTCTCAAAATTTAAGGGCATTATAATCCAGTGGGAGATTTACTCCATGAATGTCTACAAACGTTAGATAGCTAATGTTGACTATTTTTCCATGGGAATGGCATTTAAAATTATGAAAACTGGGTTTTTAGCCAAGCAAAATTTTAATCAATCCTTGTAAAACTATTAAACCAATTTTGTCTGTTTCTCCTCTCATCAAAAATGATTAGTAACAAGTTTAAGAATAAATGAAATTATATATAATATTAAGAAAAAAATTTCAAATAATTTTCATCCACTGCCTTCCTAAGAAGATATGTTTATATACACTTATTCATAATATTCTGAGCCTATCTTTTATGTTTTTTGTTCTTAAAACAAATTTCTAATTCACTTCTTTTCTATTCTAGACATCATGTATAACTGTGCTTGTGTTTGTGAATCTGTATTTGTAGCATATGAATGTCTAAGTCCATGCCAATGAAAAACATAGATCATCAACTTTTACTACCCATATCTCCCATTTAATTAGTATTAAGCAAAAGCTGAACAGGCTGTAAAGATGTACACATAATGGAGTGACATTACAATTTCTTAAGAAATTAATACTGCAGGTTCACTATATTGGAAACTGTTTAGCATGTTTTAACCAATAAATTCATGTGAAGGTCTGTTAATTTCTAAGCTTAGCAGGAACAGTTGGAGAAATGTGCTATACTTCAACTTTTACAAAAATAAAAGAATTTTCTTTGGTCATATTGTAATTAGAAAAAAAAAAGATGGAAAAATAGAAGTACTTTTATTGTCAAAATTGGATAAGTAAGAGGATTTGTTTCTGGTTTTCTTGACTTATATTCTAAAAACAAAACAAAATCAATCATGATTATTCCAAATCAGTGACTATAATTTTAGAGAGTAGGGTAATTGGATGACAGATAAAAATATATTTTTATATAAAGATAATTCCTAATAAACTATATAAGACTTGATATAACTACAGGAGTATTTACAGTCTAAAAATTAAATGGACTTTGAGTTACAGTTTCTTAAAATGTTATTACTAACAATCTGAAACTTTATATTAACATCTTAAGCACTGATTACTAAAGTTCATCATGTGGCAATTATCATGCAGCATTAGGATATGTAATGTCATATATATTCCAAATATTATATAAATTTCTACTGTTATTAAATGAAATGTGAGGGGACTAAATTGGCTTTAAAAAGGAATAAAAACAACTAAATTAGAACATGTATTCTGCTATTTAATCTTTGTTAAGGCTGTAATTTTTTTGTTAGCCACACTCATTTTATCAGGCTTTTTTATATAATTGAAGCCATAATATATAGAGATGGTATAGTTAGATTATTTCTTCTCTGAAATATTTGAAACCAGAGGTGTTTTAAATTTCAAGTTTTGGAATATTTGCATATACCATAATGCGATATTTTGAGAAAAAGACCCAAATCTACACACAAAATTTATTTATGTTTTATATAAATATGTACCTTATACACATAGCCTGAAGAAAATTTTGTATGTTTTTTAAACATTTTGTTCATGAAACAAAGTTTTCTTTGCATTTTGACTACTTCTTCTCTCAGCAGGACAGACGTGAAATTTTTTACTTGTGGCATCATGTTGGTGCTCATAAAGTTTCAGATTTTGGAACAGTTTGGATTTTGGATTGTCAGATTAGAGATGCTTAACCCAGAGATAGATGAGATAGATCAATGGATAGATAGGTAGATAGATGATAGGTAGATAGATAGATAGATAGATAGATAGATAAATAGATAGATCGATAGATACACAGACAGATAGGTAGACAAATATAGAAATGTTTCCATGCTTTTAGGGAACTGCAAATGCATCAATTTCATATTTCATGGGCCAAGAGGCTGAGTATAATTTAATCGCTAGTTCACTAGTGAAGCTATATGGCAAAAATTACCAATGTTCATGCATGTCTAGTTTTTTTCCCCTTCCCAGGAAAATAAATTATCACTTTTTTTTTAATAGAGATCAGGTTTTGCAATGTTGGCTGAGCTGGTTCAAACTCCCGAGCTCCAGTGATCCTGCCTCAGCCTCCCAAAGTGCTAGAATTACAGATGTAAACCACCATACCTGGTTTACAAATTTTTATACTTACCAGTCAACATATATTTAAGGAATGGCAGCAGAGACATGTGACTTGTTCTGACCAATGAATATGATACGTTTCAATGACTGGCAAAGGGAATCAAAATCCTGTGCATGACAGCGCATCCTTTCTCTTCATCTACTGTGATAAGATAAGGGCCATTGAGTCATGAAAAACAAGCAGCCCTGAAGAGCTACCCAATACATATCTGAAAATATAAAATTGTGTGGTACAAAGCAACTAATGTTTATAAGTTGGGCAATTCCTTCAACATAACCTATTATTTTAACTAATGCAAACACTTTTTTCCTTAAAATTCAATACATTTTAAAGGCAGCAGAGACTACATAGTGAAATAAAACCTCTCCTCCCAGAATCATATTTTTTCTAATCCCTCTCTCCAAATATTTATGCTATTGTTGTCATATGTTTTATTTTAGAAGTGTTATAAGCATGTGATATTTCTACTAATTTTACTTCAGATGGCCAAATATCATTAAAAGTGATTAAAAATAAGAAAATAATGTTTATTTATTTTACAATTTCTAGAGCCTCCATTTCTTTGTGTAGATTCATATCTAGAACCAAAGTCCTCTCAGAAGAACTTTGTTTAACAGTTCCTATGGGGCAAGAATGCTGGTTATTAATTCTTTCAGATTATGACCATCTGAAACTGTTGTTACTAGGCTTTGATTTAAAAAATATACCTTTTTTTCTGAGTCCAGAATTCTGTGTTGACAAAGATTTTTGTTTTTTCCTCTGCTTTCCGCACTTCAAAGATCTCACACATCTTTTGGCTTGTGTGGTGTCTAAACAGAGTCTGGTATAATTCTTATCTTTGCTACTTTGTGTGTAAACTGTCTTTTCTTTTTACCTTTCTCTTGACTTTAAAGACATGTTTCTTTATTTTTGATTTTTAGCAGTTTGGCTATAATATGCCTAGGTATGGTTTTCTGGAGGTATTCATTCTGCTTGTGTTATTCTTAGCTTCTTGAATCTGGGTTTAGATGTCTTTTATTATTTTTTTAAAAATTCAAACATTCTCTGTTCCAATATCACTTTTGCTATTTTATCATTTTTCCCCTTCTTCTAATCCAATGACACATCTTTTAGAGTGTTTGAATTTTTTTTCCGGTTTTGGATGCTCTTATCTGTTTTTGCAGTGGCAGTGTTTGCTTGCTTTTTGTCAATCATTTTTCTTTGTGCATTTTAGTTTTTAGCAATTTCTATTGGCCTATAATCTACCAATTCTTCCCTCAGCTGTGTTAAATTCACCGGTGAGCCTATTGAAAGAATTTTATCTCTCGCATTTTTTTAATTATGGAATTTTTATTTAGCTGTCTTATAGGTTTATTCTTTCTAAAAACATTATCTAAATGTTCATGCCTATTGCCTACCTTTTCCATTAAATTGTGAAACATATAGTCATAGTTATTTTAAATTTTCTGTTCAATGGTTTCAACATCTAGATATCTCTCTGAGACTAGTACAATTGACTTTTTGTGTTCTGTTTGCTTGTTTGCTTGCTTGCATTTGTATGAGCTTATGTTTTTTAATTGATGTCAACATTGTAGGAGAAACATGAGACACTGAAGTCAAGATCACTTATTTCTGAAATAAGTGGACTTCTTCTTCAATGTTTCTATCACTGTGCCAAACCAATAAGTAGTTGAGCTGAGTTTGAGATTTTTTTCCTGATATTGTGACCTTCAGGACGTCATAGTCTTCAAATTCTTCTAGCAGTTGGATGTGATTGCCTTGTGTTGAGGATGGCATTTTGGATGTCTAAGGACTTTTTTTTTTTTTGAGTCTTTGTATTTTACCCTGAGTTTTTAGTCATTCTTGTTTGCCTGAATCGTGGTGGGGAGTTTCTCTCCTCAAACTTCTCCTCCTCTCAGAAGTAGATTTCTGTTGCTTTTTATTCAGTGTGAGGCCTACGGTGGAAATAGGAAAATTTTCTCTTGTTTTCATCCTGCACATGCTAAAGCTTTTCCTTACCTTCCTATTTAAAATACTATACCTCCTCTAATTTCAGCCATTTCAATGTCCCTTTAAGCTTTATTTTCTTCTTTTGTATTTATTAGTATGGAACATAATATATAGTATGTTATTTAGGTTTTTGTCTCCCTTTAACACATTTTTGGTTATTTATGTTGTTGTTGCCAGATATATAGAACTTAAAATAGTCCCTGATGCATCATCAGTACTCTGAAACCCTTGCTGAATGAATTAATGGAGGCTGAAGTCATTCAAAAACACCATGAGATTTTATCAATAAAAATTTTATTTTTTTAACTTTTATTTTATGTTCAGGGGTACATGTGCAGGTTTGCTACATAGGTAAACTTGTGTCATGAAGCCTTGTTGTACAGATTATTTTATCACCCAAGTATTAAGCCTAGTACCCTTTAGTTATTTTTTCTAATCTCTCTCTTCCAATCCTTCACCCTCCAAAAGACCCCACTGAGTGTTGTTTCCCTCAATGTGTCCATGTTTTTGCATAACTTACCTCCCACTTATAAATGAGAACATGTGAAATTTGGTTGCAATTCATGATAATAAAAATAGAGACTTAAAAGAATGTAGGCAATTAAAACTTAGCTACCCTAACTTAGCTTTCCTTGATTTTTGTGAGCTCTGCATGCTTACTTTGATAGAAGAAAGTCTATTAATTGTGATTTAACTTGCAAACAGTTGCAACAAAATGCTATTTCCTTAAAACCTACCACATAAGCTCCTTGGGAAGACTATATTTTGTGGAATATTATTTTGATAATTAATTGTTTTACAAGGTGAATTTCACTATCCCCTTTTTCCTTTTCAGGATGGAGTAACATGATGTACCAAATCTACAGAAGAATATCAAAGACATTAAGGAAGTAATTATATTAGGAAGAAGAGAAAGAGAGCCAACAAAGGGTAGAAGTTGAAGTGCATTACATGTGACCAGTTATTAGGGTCTCAAACCATCTCGGAACATGCTGTTGGATGCACGTATACTCTGAGTGAAATGCTTAATTGTTGTAGTGATGTGAAGAAGAAAGGTGGTGGAATGACATGGAAGATGAGGAAGAGTTGCTATTTGAAAAGAGAGGGACAACCATCATTGAGAAACACTAGAATTAGGGTAAATAAAAGGCTCAGAGACTGTAGACCCCTGAGAATTGGACAACATCTTTGAAGGTTGACAAAATTCTATTGAATGTGGGTTTATATGCAATTTCACCAAAAACTCAGGTGGCAGAGAGCTCTTCAATTGATATTTAGCTTATGGTCTTGTAGTATGTGGAGGCCAAAAGAGCTGAGAAGTTACAACTAAACCTCATCTGAAGTCTCATTAGCAATTCTAGAAAATATAATATGATATATAGAGGGCAACCTAATCTTTCACAGTTTGATAGGGCTTTGAAAGATATAAATCTTTAGAACCTACTTTTTTATTCCTTAATAAAATTAAGTCTAGAGTCAGCCTTGCAGTTGTTGTTGAGAAAAACATTATGTAATATGTGATATAGAAATTAACCATGACCTTGCCTAGACTATAATGATGTAGCATTAATTTTTTATTCTATTTTAGAGATAAAAATTAAGCAATGGTCAGTATATTCTTGTGAATTCCTTCCTAAAGGTATGATGGTTTTAATTATGATGGTCTTCTGACAGAATGCTCTAAACTCAAGTCAATTATTAAAATGCTGCTTCTGGTAAAACATATATACATTCGTGTACCTTAGTGATAATCACACTGGGACAATTCAGATTGAAAATGTGTACCACCTGCTTCTATTTGAGTTATAAATTAAGGTTCAAATACCATAAATAAGAATGCTGAATCACATTGGCAGGTGATATTGTCAAATGGATACACTCCCTTTTTTCTTATATTTCCATTATGTTGCATATAGACACAGCTTCATAGTCAGAGACTTATCCTTTTCTACTATTTTTATACTAACTTTATAGCTATAATTACTCTTGGCCATGGGTTTCAGAATGGCATTAACTTCTTGCAAGCTGTTATTAAGTAATATCAGGAAGCCAAATCATTCTCAGTTCAATTTCCAGTAGAGGTAATCCTCTCTCATTTAACTGACTAGTAAATTGGAAAGAAAAAAAAAGCCTACAACCTAACAGCATGAGATTAAGTGTAATGAAAATATGCCAGATATTTGTATAAAATGACAAATGTTGGTTTTTGGATATTTGGTTCCCATTAAATTTAACATATATTACTTGAGACAAATGTCAATATTTGGCATATTTATCAACGTAAATTGAGGAGTTTGGTCTGTCTTTACTCAAAATATTTTACATGCTTTGGGCAGGACAAGGAGAGTCTCTGTTTACTCAATAAATTTTCCATTTCTAAAAGCTGAATTTCATTTTTTAAATAACTGACTGTATAGGCTATTTATAAAACATTTTTTTCTTAAGTCTGAGGTTTAGGAGAAAATATTAGTCTTATTATTTAATGCCCAACATTTAATTTTCACTAAGCAAGAAGAGTAAATAAAATTTTTAAATAAGTTAATAACTAACTATGTTCTGTCATGCAAAGTTTGAAATGTATTATTTCACCATGTACCCAATAACAATTACACCTAAAAATAAAACAAACTCATGTCATGGGGGTTTGTTGTACAGATTATTCTGTCACTCAGGTATTAAGTCTAAAATCCAATAATTACTTTTTTGTTCCTCTCCCACCTCCCACCCTCAGATAGGCCCTAGTGTCTGTTTCTTCCATCTTGTTGTCCATGTGTTCTCATCATTTAGCACCCGCTTCTAAGTAAGAACATGTGGTATTTGGTTTTCTGTTCCTATATTAGTTTGATAAGGATAATGGCCTCCAACTCCATCAAATTTTCTGCAAAACATATGATCTCATTCTTTGTTATTGGTGCATAGTGTTCCATGGTATATATGTGACACATTTTCTTTTTTTTTAACTTTTATTTTAAGTTCAGGGATACCAGTGTGGGTTTATTACATAGGTAAACTTGTGTCATGGAGGTTTGTTATACAGATTATTTCATTGCCCAGATATTAAGCCTAGTGCCCATTAGTTATTTTTTCTAATTCTTTCCCTCCTCTCACCCTCTACCCTCCGTAGACCCCAGTGTGTTTTCCCCTCTATGTGTCTTTATCCAGTCTACTAGTGATAGGCATTTAGCTTGATTCCATGTCTTGGCTATTGTGAATAGTTCAATGAATGCATGCATGCATGTGTCTTTATGATAGAACAATTTATATTTCTTTGGGTATACACTTAGTAATGATATTGCTGTTTCAAGTGGTAGTTCTGTTTTCAGCTCTTTGAGGAATTTTCATACTACTTTCCACATTGTTTGAACTAATTTACACTCCCAACAGTGCATAAACATTCCTTTTTCCTCTGAAACCTTGACAACATCTGTTTTTAATATATTTTCTTTTTTCATTATTATTATTATGCGTTAAGTTTTAGGGTACATGTGCACAATGTGCAGGTTAGTTACATATGTATACATGTGCTATGTTGGTGTGCTGCACCCATTAACTCGTCATTTAACATTAGGTATATCTCCTAATGCTATCCCTCCCTGCTCCCCCCACCCCACGACAGGCACCGGTGTGTGATGTTCCCCTTCCTGTGTCCATGTGTTCTCATTGTTCAATTCCCACCTATGAGTGAGAACATGTGGTGTTTGGTTTTTTGTCCTTTTTTGACTGTTTAATAATAGCCATTCTGACTGGCATGAGACAATATCTCATTGTAGTTCTGATAGTCACTTCTTTAATAGTCAGTGATGTTGAGCTTTTTTACCTATGCCTGTTGGTACATGTATGTCTTATTTTGGAAAGTGTCTGCTTATTTCCTTTGCTTACTTCTTAATGGGATTTGCTTTTTATTTCTTGTAAATTTGCTTGTTTCTTAAAGATGCTGGATATTAGACCTTTGTAAGATGCATAGTTTGCAAATATGTTCTATTCTGTAGGTTGTCTGTTTACTCTTTTAGTAGTTGTGGTTTTTGTGCAAAAGCTCTTTAGTTTAATTGGACCCCATTTATCAATGTTCGTTTTTATTACAATTGCTTTTGGCATCTTTGTCATGAAATATTTGCCAGTTCCTATGTCAAGAATGATATTGCAGAAGTTGTCTTCCAGAGTTTTATTGCTTTGGATTCTACATTCACATCCTTAATTTATTTTGAGTTGATTTTTTTTTATATGGTGTAAGGAAGGGGTCCAGCGTCAACCTTCTGCATATGGCTAACCAGTTGTCCCAGCATCATTTATTGAATAGAGAGTCCTTTCTACATTGGTTTGTCACCGTTTTTGAAGATCAGTTAGTTGTAGGTGTGTGGCCTTATTTCTCGGCTCTCTATTCTTTTCATTGGTTTCTGTGTCAGATTTTGTACCAGTACCATGCTGTTTTAGTTACTCTACCTCTGTAGTATAGTTTGAAATCAGGTAGTGTGATGTCTCCAGCTTTGTTCTTTTTGCTTAGGATTACCTTCGTTATATGGGCTCATTTTTAGGTTGTATATGATTTTAAAATAGTTTTAATTATTTTCTTTAAGAATGTTGAATGCAGGTTCTCAATCTCTTCTGGTTTGTAAGGTTTCAGCTGAGAGGTCTACTGTTGGTCTGCTGGGCTTCTTTTTGTAGGTGACCTGTCCTTTCTCTCTAGATGCCTTTAACATTGTTTTTTGTTTTTTTTTAAATAAAAGAAGAAAGAGAAAGAAGAAAGACAGAAAGAAAGAGGGAGAGGGGAGAGAGAGAGAAAGAAAAGAAAAAGAAAGAAAGAGAGAGAGAGAAAGGAAGGAAGGAAGAAAGAAAGAGAGAGAGAAAGAAAGAAAGAAAGAAAAAGAAAGAAAGAAAGAAAGAAAGAAAGAAAGAAAGAAAGAAAGAAAGAAAAGAAAGACTTCAGCCGAATTAAATTTAAGTAATTTAAGTGTTTAATTGAACAATGAATTGGTTGCAAATCGGGCAGCCCCCAGTGTCACAGCAGACTCAGGGAGACTAGTGCAGCCACATGCTGGAAGAATATTTATAGACAAAACAAAAAAAGGGAAGTTACATACAGAAATGGAAAGTGAGGCACAGAATGGGGGGATTGGTTACAGCTCGGTGTTTGCCTTATTTGAGCACAGTTTGAACACTTGACAGTGTATGAGTTGTTGACGTATGGCTACTGGGATTGGCCAAGACCCAGCCACTGTTACAGGTGCACACTCCCAAGTTAGTTTCTCAATTTTGTCTACCTATTAAATTAGGTTGTAGTTTGTCCACAGAGACTCAAATATAGAGGTGCAGAGTCCTTCTCAGGCCATATTGAGTTCATTTTAACAACATTTTTCTTTCATTTTGACCTTGGAGAATCTGATGATAGTGTGTGTTGGGAATGACCTTCTTATAAAGTATTTTGCAGGAGTTCTTTGCGTTTTCTGAATTTGGATGCAGATCTCTCTAACTAATTTGGGAAAGTTCTCATGGATGATATCCTAAAATACGTTTTCCAAGCTGCTTCCATTCTCCCCATCTCTTTCAGGAAAGTCAATGACTCATAGACTCGGTGTCTTTACAGAATCCCGTATTTCACAGAAGTTTTGTCTGTTCCTTTTAATTCTTTTCTCTTCATTCTTGTCTGACTATCACATTTCAGAAAGCTAGTCTTCAAGCTCTGAGATTCTTTCCTCAGCTTAGGCAATTCTGCTGTTAATACTTGGATTGCATTGTGACATGTTTGTAGTGGTTCTGAGCTCTGTCAAGTTGGTTACATTCTTTTCTATACTGACTATATTGTCTGTCAGCTCCTTTATCTTTTTATTGTGACTCTTAGCTTCCTTAGATTGGGTTTGAACATTCTCCTGGAACTCAGTGATCTTCATTTCTATCCATATTGTAAATTCTATCTCTGTCATTTCAGTCATCTTAGCACAGTTTAGAACCTTTGCTGGAGGACTAGTGTTGTTTGTAGGAAAGAAGACACTGGCTTTTTTGTTGTCAGAGTTTTTGGGCTGGTTCTTTCTCATCTTTGTGGGCTAATGTTTCTCAATCTTCGAAGTTGGAATTCTTTGAGTATTTTTTGTTTGTTTGTTTTTTAACCTATTTGATGACTTTGGGGGTTTGACTGTGGCATAAGGTGAGTTCAGATGACTGGCTTTATTTCTGGAAGAATTTAGGAGGCCAAAGCTCAGCTTAGGAACCCTGACCTCTGTACTCTATCTTTGGGGAACTGGTATAGGGCCCCTGCTTTGACCTCTGGCTCCTCAATTTAGGAACTTCCTGTGCTAGAACAGCCAAGGCCCTCTTGGACTGCTGGGCACAACATTCCAAAAGTAGTGCCAGGTAAAGCACTTCGTAGGGCAGTGGCATCAGAATCTATCCACATTTGCATGTGCCAGTTGCAGCTGCAGCTGCAGCTGCAGCGTGATGGGATACACACTCCCTGGCTATGGCAGGGCGCTAGCAGGTGCTGGCATGCTGGCTTCCATGTGGGCATTTGTAGCAAGAGTATGGCTCAGCAAGGACAGAGGGGCTCCCCCGCGGGTGGCGGTGTTTGCCTCTCTGTGCATGTTCTTTTTTTTTTTTTTTTTTTTTTTTTGAGACGGAGTCTCGCTCTGTCGCCCAGGCTGCAGGCTGGAGTGCAGTGGCGGGATCTCGGCTCACTGCAAGCTCCGCCTCCTGGGTTCACACCATTCTCCTGCCTCAGCCTCCCAAGTAGCTGGGACTACAGGTGCCCACCACCACGCCCGGCTAATGTTCTTGCAGCTTGCAATGGCCACTCAGGGTGAGGGTTGTCTGCTTTTATCCATGCCTTGTATCATGCTAGTGGCAGTTTCAGCACACGGGTGGGGTGCTGGTGGTTATGGGTCTGACGGGGTCTGACAACAATGGCAGTGCAGCAAGGGGAGGGGTATGGGGTGCACTCACTCAAGCAGCAGTGACATGGCAGGGTGCACATTCACATCCATGTTGGTGGAGAAGGAAATGTCAGGCCTTCCTATGCACACACACACCAGCAAAGTGATGGGGGGGTGGCTGTGGGTGAGTGCATGTAGCATAGAGAGGCTGCAGTGGGAGAAAGATGCTGGTGGGTCCCTTGTGGCTGTTCTGCCGGAGCACTCTGCCAGTCAGGCATGATCTGCTAGTCCAGGAGCCATGATGTAGGCACAGGAAGTACTTGGCGGCGGGGGGGTGCTGCACTGCAAGAAGCTGAGGGCTTGCTGGGACCCCGGGAGAGGCCAGCAGACTGAGAGATGCTCAAGTTTTACTGGCCCGGTCTGATGGGCAAGATCGTCCTGCTGAGTTCAGGTCTGATACTTTTCCTAGGGCTAAAGTCTCCTATGGAAGCAAGTCTAGCCTAAGGGGATGGTGACCCCGGCTGCGCTCCACTACAGGCACCCCAACACCAAACACTCTGGCTCTGCTGCAGCTGGAGTTTTGCCTCTATCACTTCTCTGAACAGCTCTACCTGAGAATTCAAGTGTATATGGTGGTCAAGGGGTTTCCACCTGTTGGGATTCCAGAGGCCCACGGTGGCTTGCCTGCTCAACTCACCCCTGCCCCAGGAGTTGCTGCGGGCCAGGAATGAGTCATGGTGTGTGATAGCCTGATGCATGGTTCCCAGCTTCCTCCCACTTCAGCCCAGCATCTTTGTCTTCCCTCTGTTCGCTCTCAATTCCTTCCCTCTGAAGATCTGCTAGGGGTGCACCAGTCTTCCCAATGCCCAGTTTCTGGGTGGGAGAGGTTCCTTCTGGCTGCTTCCAGTCAGCCATTTTGCTCCCTCTAAAAATTACACTCTCATATGCTGGAATGTATGCTTATGTTCATGTACCAGTTATCAGGACATGTAAGTAAAATATATTTTAATTGATATACATTCAAAACAAATTATAATTTCTATATAAAGCATGATATAGGCAGCTCTTTTAAGTAAATTTCTTAAATTGCTAAAAAATTATACTAACCAGATATTTGTGTAATATATAATTCAGAACATAATAAAGTCACGTTTAAAAGCTATATACAAAATAAAATTGTATTTTATTTTGTTTTTTAACTGAGGCTTGAGAAATTCCATTTAATCATTTATTTTTTAATTATTTTTCGATTGAGAAGTAAAAACTAAATATTTATGGTTATAACATGATGTTTTAATATATGTTTACATTGTGAAATGGATAAATCAAGCTAATTAACACATACATTGCTCACATAAAAATTTAAATTAGGGAATTTTTAATGATAAAAAATATTATTGAATATATTATGTATTAATATATTTCTCCAGTGTATTTAAAATGGGATGTGAATATATTTAAACATCCAAAGGAATGCAATTGTGATATTGAATACAATCACTGCTTGTTAGTGAACTCAGAGATTCAAACTATTGTCTGAGCTGGCCTTTTCTAGAGTACCTTGTTTTTATCATTCTAGTTGTTTTTTCTTCATTGATTCTTTTTTTAATGCCACTGTGCTATGTATCCTCAAACTGTCTACAGTAGAAAGATCAAATCCTTTGATTTAAACTGAATTTCTTTCTTTGATTTGTACTACTCAAAGAAATCTTTATTAATACACATATTTATTTATATATCTGTTACTTTATTTCAAAGATTTCATTATTTATTTTAGAAGTTTTAGACATTGACTTTCCTAAAAATTTCTGTTCAGATCTGTGTAGTTTGTTACTCTGAAACTCCTGGTGTAGAACCTGTTCTTCATATATGACTTATTTCATGGTTACATAAAAAGTATGAAAACAGTTATATATGCTTTTGGAATTAAGAAAATGAGATTGAGATGATCTCAGAGAAAGTATCCTCGGCATCATTGGTTATTAATGGTATCACCGACAATTGTTACGAACATCCTATGCCTTGAGCAGCTAGGAATTTTTTAGTTTAAGCCAATGAAAACCATGTGTCTTTGGACAACATCTTAATGTAGGAAAGTGAACTTCTTATCACAGTTTGACATTCATGAGAAATATCTGATAACCGTAAATCATAATGACTGACCATATGTCCAGTTATTTCTTCAAAATTTGTTTTATAGTTTCTGGAGCATGAATAAACAATAAATCTGGAGTTCAGTAAATTGTGAGCATAATAAAATATATAGCAATTTAAATCCAACAAAATTTTATATTCAGAGAAAAGTGGGAGAATCCAGTTTAAGGTTTCTGTTTAAAACGAGCAGTTAAATGTTTTTTTAAAGTCCTTATAGTCCACTGTTTATAGATACTTCTTTAGCCAAGAGTCCACTCTATAGCAGAGATTTCTGGTTATGAAAGTTCTAAAAACAAGAATAAAAATGAAAAAAGCAAAGGACAAAATGTATATTTTAGACTCCAAATCTCTTCTGACATAATTCTGCCAGCATGCTGCAAGACTAAAAATGTCGAGAGGAAAAGACACGGTGTTATCTCCTTTTTCAGAAAAGTTGCCATTTCTTTGTATTTCCTACAAATACATTTTTGATTATATAATAACAGCCAGTGCAAAAATAAGATGTTCCTTACAGCTAACTTTTCTAGAAAGTTTCTATTCATTAAACAAAAATATTTTAAAATCATGCAAGGTAAAAAGCATACAGGTGGGTAGTGTGTTTGCTAGTAGCAGATGCAGCCCTTAAAAATGGCAGATCCACAATAAACTGCAGTTGGAAAGGCAGAGCTGGTAACATATAACACATTTACCTGGGACTTATTTCCCCATATAAAGTAAGTAGTACATATAAATTATTTTCACATATAAAGTAGCAGCAGTGTCAGCAGTCCCTCAAACATAAAGGATCCTCATAGAGATTGTGATGAACAGCATCAGGCAGTGTGGTCTCTTTTCATATTGGAAACCAGTATATTTTAGCTCTGCCATATTTGTAGGACTTAGTTCCATATTCAGAATCCTTTTAAAGCTGTGAAGCATTCTCTTGATTTTTCTATTATAGTTCTCCCATCAAACAACCCCACATAGCTAAAGCCCAAAGGAATCTGAGTCTTTATGTCAAGATTAACTTGTGCTCATCCAGAAAGTAGAACTACAGGACAGGCTTTGAAATAGTCTTTCAGGAGTTATTACATGTTGATACTGGTTTCCTGGAGGCACAAGCTCAGGAGGAAAACCAGTTGGTGTTTGATGGTTTTATAAGTGACACTGAGCTCTAATTTGAATGAGCCAGAGGTAGCATATCAACTTGCTCTAGGCACATCAGATATGCAGACGTGAACCCACCATGACTGTCAGCAGAACAGTGAAGAGGGCCTTCTGACTCACCAACAGGGCTTTGCTAGCATGCATTGTATTGCAGATAATCATCCAAATTTTGGTAAGAATGATGGAATCACTAGGAACTCCCTACTCCTACTTCCATTTAACAAGTATTGCAGAACGATTTTTCAGTTAGTTCCTACCACAAAAGCCCTCTCACTAGTAGAGATGCATTCCAGAAAGAGAGCTTAGAAGGGTGAAAGGTGCAACACCATTAAAATATGCTGCAAAATACATGTTTGTAGTCTCCAAGGTTGTCAGATGAAAGACTTTGAGTTAAATTTCCATTAAGGCAGAGCTTGGTAACACCATTATCTGAGAGAGCCATTTAGATGATGTGATCTGATATAGTAGAGCCGAATGCAATTCCAGCAGAAGAAATGTGCTTTCTGCAGTGTGCAACAGCCATAAGCTGGGCTGGGTTCCTCCAGCAGAGGCAACTGGCTTGGCTGAAGAATGGACTTAATGTGCAAATTGGGTGTGCTGATCAGAGATAGAACTGTTTAGCCGGCTCATTCCTCAGCACAGTAATATAGTCTTAGAAAAAGCATCACTTCAATTTGGAATGAAACTAAAAGTTTTTGTGTTTGCAGTGTTTTCACACTGCAATGCTGAGTCTCTCCCTGTCTCAGTCAATTCTACTTCTTATGTTCCTCATTGCAAACAAGGAAAACAACAAAAACAATCCCACATATGATTTATAGTGGTTATGAATCTTTTTAGCACATGTGATATGCTCAATTTTATTCTAGCAACTTGTAAATAAATAAATGAATATACAAGTGGGTAAATGAATGAATGAGTGAATGAAAATATCCCAAATACTTTGATGTTGCTATTCACCTGCCCTAAATCTCAAGGTCTGACCTGAAAGGTTTGTGCATTTTCCCAAAGCATCTAATGCTTCCCTTGCAACAGAATCCAAAGAAGGGCATTTGCCTGTAGCAAATACTAAATCAATATGCTCTGACTCATTTTTGTAACCCTTATTGTCCTCCTTTATGCATCTTATTTTCAGTTGTATCCTTAAGGTAGTTTTTCTTCTATGCTCCAATAAGTACATCCTATATAACCCATCACCACTTTCTTAACACTTTCCTCAATGTACTGTAACCATGGGTTTCTTTGTTCCTTTTTCTGCTAGAATTAAAAAATTCAGAGGTCAGAGATTATTTATTTTTGTACATTTTGACTGTCACATAAAAGCTGCCCAGTAAATATTTCTTGAATGAAAATTGAAAGACAAATCTAAGCATAGATACATAATAGCTTGACTGGGAACTGGAAATTTCAGAGTGCATTTGTTTTGTTCATTGAAAAGAAGAGCAATGGGCAGCACCACTTAATTAATCAGTATAGATTTATTACTGTGCATGCTCTACAGAGACTAGCAACAGGCTAAGCCCCAGGTGCAGGGCAATGAGTTGGCTGATTTTCTCCTGCTCCAATGTTAGCCCATCATCCTTCTTATCCCAAAAGGGAGGCTAATAAATTATGATAGTATGACAGCTACTTCTGCCCACTGTTAAGCATGTCATAAGTTGTTACATCATAGCTATATTGAATAAAAACCTCTGTAGTTTTAAAATGTTATAAAATCTGAATAAACACACACTTTTTAGGAGTTATTTTTGTATAAGCAGAGCTGTTTTAATTGTGAAAGAGAATGTGATATGAGTGACTCAAAAATAAAATCTTATATCAGAATAACTCCCTCAGTGACCCTATCTAAAACTGTGACCTAAATATTCAACTTAAATTAGAAAAATAAGGTTTAAATGCAAGTGATATAAGAAAGAGCTAATGATGTGTGACATTATCAGTCCCACCTATCTAAGCTTAAATTATGAACAAAGACATACAAGGTTGAAAGGGATATTAGAGATGACAACACTGAAATACGAGCAAGTAGAATCGTATTTTTCATTGCCACATGATATTGAGGAACAGATAAGACTACAACACAAATATGTTAATATCTAATAAAAAAATTTATCCAAGCTAAGCACAAACACAGAATAGGAAAATATATGTGGGATGTAGAATCAGAATGTCCTAGCTCTTATGCTAGGTGGCTCATTTACTGCCTGTGTAATATAAAATTTCTGAGCCATAGTTTTCTCACCTATACTATAAAGATATATTCAACTTCAAAATATTTATAAATATTAAATAAGATAATTTATATGAATTTTATATAAAAAAGCATACATATACATATGTATATGTATGTATGTATATATGTATATGTGTCTGCATAATTCAGAAATTATAAAAAAATTATTATATATTATAATTTCTGAATTATGTATGCATATGCACATATACATACAAACATATATGTGTGTACATACAAATTCTATGGAAATATAAATACATATATACATACACACACACACACATATATATGGTATTATAATGTCTGAAGCCAAATTATATGAAACCAATTTTTCCCTTCTTAAAATATTGCCTTCAGTGTTGTCTTTTGTATAAAAAATATAACAGTCTATTTATTTAACAAATTCCTTCATAAACATGAATTTCAGTGATTTGGTAAGTTACTTATTATTAATAAGCCCTATATCCTTTCTCTGTAAAAATTTAATTATAATATTTTCTCCTTCAGTATTCGATATTGTTTGGTTGTGTCCCCACCCATATCTCATCTCGAATTGTAGTTCCCATAATCCCCACGTGTCATGGGAGGGACCTGGCAAAACGTAATTTAATCATGAGTGAGGTTATCCTTATACTGTTCTCATGATAGTGAGTGAGTTCTCATGAGATATGATGGTTTTATAAGGAACTTTTGCCCGTTTTGCTCAGCATTTCTCTCTCCTGCCACCATATAAAGAAGTATGTGTTTGCTTCCCCTTCCACCAGGATTGTAAGTTTCCTGAGGCCTCCCCAGCCATGCTGAACTGTGTGTCAGCTAAATCTCTTTCCTTTATAAATTACCGAGTCTGGGGTATGTCTTTATTAGCAGAATGAGAACAGATTAATACAGTATTTTTATAAGAATTAAATAATGTTGTGCACAAAAAATATACCTAGGATTTGTCTAGTGAATAGTAAAGGCTAACCAAATATTAGGCTTCTTCCTATTCCTTTTGTTTTTGAATTTGTGGCTGTTGATTTTCATTGTGGTGATAGCCTCAAGCTTTTCCAACTTTCAGCGTGATTATTTTGTATAGCTCAGAGAGGAAGCGTTTATCCCATTTTATGGGTATTTGGTGTCTAAGGTCAGACTCTACATGGAGAAAGTAGTAATCAATCTGAAGAATCTTAAGCAGTAAAGAAATGTCAGTATAATGGGTTACTGAAGCCCTCTGTGCACAATGATCTGGATGGCATTTCGCTGTCTCCTGCCTCTATCATTTTCCTCTCGAAAGAAGTCCATCTAACTGCAATTAGAATAAAGATAGGGATAAGGATGATGAATAATCTTAACTGCTTCCTGCTGACAGAGTGTGCTGTTTTGGAAAAATAGCAGTCAGATCTCCCTCAGAGGCTCATCTAAAGGTCCCCATAAAAAGGGGGTCATTGTTTTGAGGCTTCAGTTGCATGAACGCTTGGTATTCAATGGCCTGAAGGTGAGAAGGGATAAACTGGGTTGTTGAAACACATGTGTCAAAAGGAAACAAGGAGGTAAGGACAGCTAAAAAGTCCAGAGGCTGCTGACATACCCAGGTAACTGGTAGCTATAGTTATGCTTGCTAAGATTAGGTTATATGGTGCTTAGCTTTGGTTAGCTCTCTTGGTCTTACTTTCTGCCCCCCTCCACAACTCCCCCCAAAAAACTCTCCTGGTTATTGGCACCCTATTTAATCCCATCACCTGACACTATTTACAGGACAATTGCTGAGAACTAGAATACTGATCCAGATTTGTATATTGCCCATCCCTTCTCTTTCTTCTGAGCTGCAGCCAGAGATCACTGGTTGGTTCACAGGAATAAGCAGGGTTAGTTTAAAATGTAGGATAAAAACGAAAAAACAACAAATGAGTCTAGAATTTGATGACAAATGTATGATAAGGTTGGAACATATTTGTCTCTTGAGTGCTCATTTTTGTTCAAAACACATCCTGATAGTACTGGGTTGCTTGCAAAATAAACTTTAGTCTTACACTTGGCCTGGTTATTTGCATAAAATGCAGCAAGACTAATTATTTTTAAGTAGGCTTTTTAAATTGGCTTTGATGGAAGTTTGTTTCTCAAGCAATCTCAGACAGAACTTCTTAAAGCCAAGCCCAGCCATGGGTTTGTACCTGCAAATACCTATAAGTTGTGTGAATTCCACTCTTCTCAAGCTCCCAAGAATATGGGGTTCCCGGGCCTGTTAAAAAGTGACATTCTTAACTCACTGCCAGTTAGGAAACCTGTACGGGTACTGTGTAGACAAAGTATGAAGCCAGTTTTCCCAAGGGGCTTTTATCAGCTCTGCAAGTCGAGCTTGACACCTTAAAGTGAAGCAAACCCTTCCAGTCAAAGTCTTGACAGATAGTTTCTCTAATTGGGTACTGTTACAAAAGAAAATGGATTCTTATTGCACTGATGCAAATAACCATATTGCCATAAGTTAAGAATACTCACAGATAGTTTACAAATTCTAGAGAAACCAGACAAAAAGAAACAAACATGCTGAAAATCTTGTTCACAGGAGTCCACCTTACTCACTTATTAAAGACTGTAAATAGCTCAAAATAAAAGTTTCTTTGACTCTGAAAGACAAAACCAACATCAGAAATGTTTTAAGAAAAAGTTAAAAAAGATTACTTCAGTTTTCTATTTGTTGATTGTTCTTGATAATTGTGAATATATCAGCCCCTCATGAGTCTTGTAAGTTTTTTCTTTATTCCAATGTCACAATCTCCAAAGTTGTCAGAAACCTGCATTTGAGAGCCACTGTCAAAGTACTATGGTTGATTATAAACCATCTTTTGAAAAGGATCAAAACAAGACAATTGCCTATAAATAAGAAAATGTCCAGAGTAGTTACAATCAAATACATGATTGACCGAGTAATTTGGTTATCTCTGTGGTTTATAATAACATAACACCCTTAATTGTGATTAATAGCATACATTCAGACATTCAAACCTGAGAAATTCCATGCAATTTTGGAATATATATGACTATTATTCACTAAAATATAACCTGAAGAAGATTAAACATCATTTTGGCAATCCCACATACCTACACATTTCAGGTAATCCTGTTTCCCTCTCTTCTGGATGCTCCAGGGGCCTTCCATAGCATCCAAAAGCTAGGGGTCATGAAAGACAATGCTGAAGCTGAAATTTGATTTGGGGGAGACTGTTAAATATGCTAGAGGATTAAAACACTTGATTTTATGAAATAGAATTCCAGATTGCCATAAGTTTTTTGTTGTGCCAAAATGACTCAAACATTTTAAAACAAGGGAAAAACCTTTTCTCATTAACAGGAAATACTTAGCTTTCCAATTTGTCTCCTGTCTTCTCTTTCTTTTCCTTGGCAGGGTATCCCCAAGACAAATAGAAATCTTCCATTATCCTATATTATTACATGAAAATCTTGTACAAGGGAAATAAATCCAAATTTTTCTCTTACATTTGTTTAATATATCAGCCCAAATTTTCTTTTCTTTTTTCTTTTTTTTTTTTTGAGATGGAATCTCACTCTGTCACCAGGCTGGAGTGCAGTGGTGCAATCTTGGCTCACTGCAACCTCCAACTTCCTGGTTCAAGTGATTCTCCTGCCTCAGCCTCCCAAGTAGCTGGGGCTACAGGCATGTGCCACCGCACCCAGCTAATTTTTGCACTTTTAGTAGAGACATTATTTCACCATGTTGGCCAGGATGGTCTCAATCTCCTGACCTTGTGATCTGTCCACCTTGGCCTCCCAAAGTGCTGGGATTACAGGCATGATCCACTATGCCTGGCCCATCAATCCTAATTTTCTAGTAAAACCTTATAGACAATTCTATCCAATCTTAACCAGTTTGACCATGAGGCAAGATTCTTATCAATCCTTTTAACTCTTTACAAATTTTACTAAAGAGTAGATTAATGCCTTAAGGAAAACTTCTGCTCCTATTTCAATGCCCAATTTACAGAAAAACCATATAATACCCTTTTTAATTTAGTGTTCACACACATAATTTTTTGTGCAAGATTAAATTTAGAAACCTTCCATAACTTGCTTAAACCTTTAGCTTTATCTTATCTAATTTAAAACAATCCTTTAACCCTAGGCAAAAATTTACATTTCCATGCCTTCTTATAATCTTTTTTTCTAAAAGCATATTTTATTCTTACACACCTTGCATGTAAATCTATTTTTTCAGTGCTCTCAATTACATGTTACAATTTTTTAACTTTAGCATTTTTTTAACTTTAATGTAAAATCTGGTAAGTTGTTTTCATTACACACTAGGTGCCAATAAACTTTGACTGCTTCCAGCATATTTAAGGGAGTGGTTAATTCCATATGTCCTCAGGCCTTACGAATTGTGAAGCAGGCAGGTGAAACAATTCTCAACAGCTAAAGAAGCAGTTTATAACCTAAAAACATTTAGTAAACCTAGTATCTAACCCATATAATTTAGGCCACCTACTTACATTGTAATGACATTTGTGTTTTACCAATAATCTTTAAGACTGTTTTTATTTCTCAAAGATTAAAGTCATATGAACTAAAAAGCATTACAGCTTGTATTTTTTCCTCAAAAATATTTGACCTAAGCACTTATTTTTATTTAGGACAATTAATAAGAACTCTTTTTTATAGACATTACACACAACACATATGTAACTACACAGACAGAAGAAGATACAATAGTTATAAAATTTTTCATTTGTCAATCTCTTAATAGGATTATTGGTCTCTGGGTGGGGCTCTTTAAGAGCAGACCTAGGAGATAGTGCAGTTTCTAGGGCCTAATAAACAGGCATAGCTGGAAGACAAAAACAGATTTTGAGAGAGATCTATCTGCCTCTAATTCCTGGGGTTCCATGAGGAAAAGAGAAGTTTCTCCCAAAATGGAATTCATGGCACTTTTTTGTTTTTCCCAAGGAGTCCCAGGGCATTAGAAGTTATCTTAGGGCCTCTCCTGCATGCATTAATAATGGAAAGGCAAAGTGGAGAGAAGTAATTTAATCTACTGAGAAAGAAAAAAAAACAACTTTTTCCAGCAAAGCAAGGTCCAAGAAGAGAAAAGGATAAAGTCCTTTCAAATATACCTGTAACTTGAATATCCACTTTTAATTAAGCTGAGCACTCTTTAAGAAAGTCCTTTTCAATCCCATATTACCCAACTTTAATTATGCCAAGCAGCCAGTATTTCTGGCTTTTGAACGTTATCAGCAGTAACCTTACAGGTGAAACCAACAAGCCTCAATTAAGAAACCAAAAGCACACTAGATTGTCTACAGCTTAAGACCAACCCCATAAATCCTTTTTCATTAATCAAAACTTTACAGAGAATATAAACAGTGATTCTTATCATTCCTTTTACCACTCTGCCCAAGGAGAGAGAGGTTAAAATTTTGACTGGTAAAAAAATATTTTACCCATTTGCTGGCATGTCATGCTTCCCCCAAGCTCAATTCTAAGCAAACTAGTTTAAGGTTTCAGATATTAACTTTTCTCAGTTTGAAGGATGCATCCAAGCAGAGTGTCCCTTGGTATGGGGACACACCCATCTGTGAAGAGAGGACAAAGGAGGAAAAAGGCATTTCTTTTTCAAAGAAGGCTTAGGGGTTCAGGATACATTCAAAAGGGGGATGGACTGAAGATGAACAGGTACTCAGAAAAAGGGGAGCCAGGCATCCCTGGGGTACATGAGGGATAGAAAGAAAAAGCATTGTCTTTCCTTCTTTTGTCCTTATATCCCCGAGTCCTGGCAACCTTGACAAGGTTTCACATGCCGCTTTCACCCATGATAACGGGGGTCTAAGGGGTGAGATTATCCATTCTTACCTACATGCTGCCTTTCCCTCTGCTGTCAGTAGCCTTTGAATTTCCTAGACCTCATTTATGCCATGGATAATAGCAAGACATTTACCCATGAAACAAGAGGCTTGGCTTAATTGAAAGAAATTAGTCACGCTCACCTGTGCTCTGTGCTGCACCTTTTAACTTTCATTGATATCTGCTTCTGGATCCCTCAGATCCAGTTTTTTGTTTGTTTGGTTGTTTTTTACCCCTAGGGCTTCAATCGAAGCTTGGAATTGAGTTTGGGATGAAAGAACTGCCTCAGGGGGTGCATGGACTCATCAAGTCCCAGGTTTCCCTCATCTGACTGACTGTTGCCTTATTATCATAAGCTGAATGCTAAGGTGAAGCTGTGGAACTGGGTGTTTCTCAAACAAGGAGGGGAAAAAGTCTGTCCTGTGAATTGGGGTCCTGGTGTAATAAGATGCCTTCCAAAAGGAAAAAAAATCCTTGGCATACTGAACCCCCTCTACTCACAGGGCTCTTTTATTAGGTTGGTGCAAAAGCAACTGCAGTCCCCACCATTCTAAGTAATGGCAAAAACCACAATTACTTTCTCACCAACTAACCAACTCCTGATTTGGTAGAGAAAAAGAAAAAAAATAACAGCTTAAATACAAGGCTGTGCTAACTGCTGATAGGGTAGAGAAAAGAAAAAAAAAAGCTTAAATATAGAGCTGGGTTAACTACTGACAGAGTGGAGAAAAAAAAAAGATGCCTGGGGAAGAAACCTCTTATTCTTGTGCAAATAGGTTTCTCCAATAGGGAGATAAGCTTTTAATTGCTGTCAGATGGAGCTGGACCCCTTGACCTGGGGAGGGGAACACTTCATGGATGCATGGTGGGAAATGTGGGCCAGCTGGCCAAGTGAGGTCTGGGTCCCTGAGACCACCATAGGGCCCAGGCAGTGGCTGTGACTCAGTCCATCCTAGTGTGGGTGTTGGACACCATATGCATATGCGGCAGACATGAACATGCACCCCAGCTGGGAGGGAACGGTGTGGTGGGGAGCTGCCATTTGCCTATCTGTCCAAGTGCATGCCTGTGGCATTGGGGTGGGGCCAAAACACCCCCAATATTGTAAAAGAAAAAATAGGTTCCATTACAGTCACAAAATATAAAAGAAGGGAAATTCCATAGAAAAAACTGGGTTGGACCAAGGCTGACATTCCTGACTCCTGAGAGTGACGGAATGGTGGGGGCAGTTTCCTCTGCTTCCAGGAAATGTCCAAGGATGAGAAAGCTCAGAAACAAAAGTGAAAGAGGTTTGGGTGTCCTCATTTTACTCACCCGTCCTCATGTCCTCATCCACGCTGCCAAAGTGATGCAGGATTTTTGCTCCTTAGTTCAGCTAAAATCTGAGCTCTTGTCTCATGACCAGGAAAAATTAAGCATGCAGACACATTGAAAGGTGAGGAGAGAAGAATTTATTAAACAAAAGGAAAGCTCTCAACAAAAATAGGGGTCCTGCACACAGGTTTTCCAGCTCAGAAAACTGAATACCAGGCCACCACACATGAGCTAAAGAGGCCAGGCTCCTCTCCAGCATAAGGCACAAGTTTCTGGTGGCTCCACCCCATTCTTCCAGTGCGCATGTGAACCTTTAGTGTGAGCCACTCCACATTGATTTATTTCCCTTACTGCACATGTGTTAAGGATGGAATTTTTCTTTTTCTTTTTTTTTTTTTTTTTTTTGAGACAGAGTCTCGCTCTGTAGCCCAGGCTGGAGTGCTGCAGTGGTGTGATCTCGGCTCACAACAACCTCCGCCTCCCGGGTCCCTGTTCAAGCAATTCTACTGCCTCAGCCTCCTGAGTAGCTGGAATTACAGGCATATGCCACCATGCCCAGCTAATTTTTGTGTTTTTAGTAGAGATGGGGTCTCACCATGTTGGCCAAGCTGGTCTTGAACTCCTGACCTTGTGATCCGCCCACCTCGGCCTCCTAAAGTGTTGGGATTACAGGCGTGAGCCAGCGTGCCCAGCTCTGGAATTTTTCATCATGGGCATGTTTAGGTAAGCCCCCCGTGACTAGACACCATGACTAGACAGCATTTGACTGTCTCCTGCCTCTATCGATAGCATAAGAGACTTCAGTGTAAGAGCTGTTGTGCATTATGTGGTCATTGACTTATCCAGATACAAAGGAGCTGGAAGATGTTTTCCTGTGAGTCCACTGGGGCAATTAAACTATGTAAGAAACACACAACATTGTATCTGCCAGAAACTGCCTTTCCTGTAACTAAAGATTATTTTATAGTAACTATTTTATAGTGGCACCACCTAGTTGCAAGAGCTCTGAGAAATGTTATTTTCTAATGCAGCCAAGAAGGAAAGGAAACCATTTAATGAACATACAGTGTTGCATCCCCAAAGTAATGGATACGGCAAGGACTTCTCTTTCTGAGAAAGTAGCTACTCATAAAAACACCAGAAATTAAGTACAAGTAAATATACTTCTGCCAGCTATGAAGAAACAGGGATTGCATTGGGACAGGCAACCAGCAGTACCTGCTAATCAAAGCAATACTAAATTTTTGGGTATTCCCCAACAAGCTGTCCTATTTCAATTCTGCCACATTTGATATACACTGTATTGTTTATTTGGAATGTCACTCCCTTCTTTGCTGACTGGCAAGTCCTGAATCACCCTTCAAAAGTTCATCCATCAAAACCTCTATTAAGACCTACCTCCCTAAAATACACAACGCATGTACCAACTTTACCATTCAGTTTACACTAAACTTTATTATATTGTTTGGTTATCTGGATTTTATTATCTGCCCTGAGCAAACAATTTTTTTCATTTATTTGTTCCTTCTTCTTTGAACTTTTAGTACTAGCATAGGTCCTGGCATGTAACAGATGCACAATTAATATCTGTTTCTCTTTTAAATTTTATTTGAATTTAGTAGCCAGATTACTGACCAACTTTCCCTTTCAATCCATTGGTCCAAATAAACATAAAAGAACATTTTATAAAAGGACTATAACTAATGTCCTTTCTAGAAAAAATCTCTACCACATGAATTAAGATGATTAGAGGATATGTGCCTCTTGTATTTAGGTAGAAAAGAAAAGACAGCATTGTAGCAGGAAATAAGTGGTTGGAAGATTAGGGAATGACTGAGCCAAGGTAAATTTTGAAAACATAATTTTCAATTGAATTGTAAATTTAGCTACCACTTACACAAAAACAGAAAGGACAAAAGAATCATTGTGACATATTCTACAAGCCCACTTAATACATTACAGATTGCAACAAGCTTCTCTTCTTATTTTTGAGAGTTTTGGACTTTTTGTCCTCAGATCATTAGTTGTTTATATTAATTTTAAACCCTTTCGATAGTACACAAAATTTTAAAAAATCTGCATGTTGTGTTTGTAAATTCCTGAGAAATTATAGCCTTCTGAAAAAAAAGTGAATTAGAAATATGACATATAATTCCTAATTACCTAGCCACGGTTTGATACTGTGCAGATTATGAGAAGTCAGCTTTTAAAAGTAATTATGCTTATTTGATCTATGTAAAATAATGGAGCAGTTGAAAACTCTATTTTGTTTTCTTAGAAAAATATTGTTTATGTTTTTGTTGGACTAAAGTGTCACTTGTGCTGTTCAAATTAATACTGAATGCTACATTAGGTGTTTTGATATGATTTAAGGATGAAGAAAAATGATTATTTATATATATATACATTTATTTATTTTTCTAGGGACAAAAAACAATGAAAAATTATAGGCAGTAACACTTAAAATGAAAGTTACTAGTGATAGGTAATTTCTTTTCCTCTGATTTCCAAAAACCAACTGTAAAGTGACCATGTCATTTCCTATTTCTGTGTTTTCCCTCAATTTTGTCCATTGGATCCACAAATCCTCCCAAAACAGAATTGTTGCCATCACTCTCTGCATCAAATTACACTGTGAAGAAAATATACCAAGCAAGATCACTAATCTATGAACATAGTTTTATTTGACATGTTGCCATTTATTCTTATCTTGTGACATGGAATACAGAATATTACCTTGTAGTTTTCTGTGATAAATCCATAATATCAACATATATTATTGATCCTCACCCTCACCCATCCTTGGGCTTTATCACAATTCTAAATTTTAGTTCAGACTCCTTGTATCTTTCTTCTTGCTTGCTTGCTTTTTTTTTTTTTTTCACTTTTTTGCTCACTAAAATCAGTCTTTTATTGACTTACTTTAACACTTGTTTGCCTTCCCAAACCAAGGCCTCCTTTGCTTAGAACTAACTCCTGGTTCTCATCTTGTCCTTTATATAATAAAGTCAGTTACTCATAGTCAGTTACTCACAGTGATTTCTGTGGCATAGGTTCTTTGTTGGAGTACCTGTTCTTGAGCTTGAGTACAGTAGCAGTAGTCATACTTTTCAATCACTAACCCCCAAAACAATGATCAAAAGCCTTTTAGACTTTTTAAACTTTCCTAAATATTCACAATTCTTATGCTGATTAACTTACTGAAAAACAAAATAACTTTTGTTTATTTATTGATTACTTTCTTAAAATAAGATCGTAGAAATCAATTTTGTGGTCAAAGATACATAATTTGGGGACTTTCATGTAAGTTAGACAGTTGCCGTTCAGAAAGATTATGTTCACCTGTTCATCTGTATTTTCATCCCTCTTTTCTTTTTATGACTTTTCCAGTTAAATATATTTTTACAATATTGGATATTACTTTTCTAAGAACATACATATATCACAAAGAAAATGATGTAGCTATATTAGTAACACTCAAAATAATTTTAAGAAAAAAATTATTACTTCACAGGATATTAGTAATAAAAGACAACTTTAATTTACAGGTAAGTTACAAAAGTCATATATTTGTATTTGTTACATTAGAAATTTATAAAGTTGAAATTGATTAACTGGTTTACGAGGGGAATATTAACAGTTCATCATTAGTATATTGAGGAATTTTATTGTGTTAACTATCAGGTATTTTCAACATAATATTTGATACATAAAAATAATATATGTAATATCCATTAGTTAATAAACTGAAAATATCATATAAATTAAGAAACACACCAATCAGTCAATGACATAATTTGTAGCCTATATTTTTATTCTTCCCATTACTACAGTCAATTTGTAACTGTTACGTTTTTTGGAGTCAGAGTTAATATGTTCTATTTGGTGCCTGGATGAATAAACTATCAGTCACAGTTTACCTTCATATTTGAATGAACACAATAAATATTTATCTGACTGCCCGTGGGGATTACCTCGCCAGCCCTGCCATTGTACACAGTCACTGCAGACAAGATCTTAACTGCACCAAAAGCCATTAGCTACTTGGGGGCAAAAGAGTGGGATGGAAGGAGGGCTTGCAAACAACTGAGTAATAAAAAAGAGAGTTTGTATACTCTATAGCTGGCAGTGTCATTACTACAAATGGTAGAATAAAGGTAGGAGAAGTCATGATTAAGAGCAGGAACCAAGGTTCAGTGCAATAAGGCAAACTTCAGATAGTGATCTTAGCCCTGGATGCCCTGGCCAACAATCCACCCTTCTATACATTTTTACACTCTGTTGCACCGTTGCCAATAGTGTGGCTGTGTGGTCCAGGCAATGGCAGCAACAATTACTTGTTCAAGGAAGCACCTTTTGGCTAAATGAACTCTAGGAATTTCTTGCCTTATAGATATCCAAAATACAAATCCAGATCATGCTTAAAGCCACAAAACAAGGCTTCACACATACTTCTTGTCTACTTTGAAATTCCAAACATCTTTGATAATGACTAAGAGACTCATTTTGTATCTCAAAATACACCAGGCTGGATTGTTAAATAAGAAACTCACAGGATTTTTACCATCCTTTCCCCTTTCAGGCTATAGTCCTCATAGAGCACCATAATGATTATTTAATCAAGTTTAAATGTCATTAAATGAAATATGACTGATTAAATTCATCAAACATCAGGGAGGATTTATAGTAAACAATCCAACTCAATTTTTGATGTTTGAGTACTGACAGTGTCAAAGTACCACCATCTGGAGAAGTTGATAAAAAGCTCACACTCTGTTGGTGCCAGCAGTAAGTTATAACCATACAATCCTCCACCAGCCCCACCCAGCTCCTTATACCAGCCCTTATACCAGCTCCACTCCTTAACTACAATAAAACACTGAATCCTCATCTTTATTACCCTACCTATTAAGGCCTGCCTACCTACTGCAACACTCCCAATTCCCCTTTTTCTATTCTGCTTGTAAGAGGAGGAGTCTTATTTATCACATATACTCTTTATTTTTGTTCGTTTTTGTTAGATTTCAAGTTCAAGTAAGCAGTGACATTTTGTTCTGCATCGTGTTGTTCAGTGTGGTGTATTCATTATGAAAATAATGCCTGGAATAGTATTGTGCATAGTCAGTGCTCAAAAAATGTCTGCTGAATGCATCACCCTCATTATGTTTTTATTATTCACATCAACTTATTTAATACTTATTGAAGCAAATTGAAGGCTGGCAGCTTGTACCACCCATTCCTACTCTCTGACAATGGTATCTCTAGCCTGTCAATTTTCTGTACTGATAATTACAGGGTGGTCAATCACATCCTTCATTAGAACCTTTTACTATATTACCATCATAGATTCTTCAATATTATGTCTCAATTATAAAAATCTTACTTTCCTTCGTAAAAGCCTCTAATTTTTATTAGCTCATCATATTTTTACATTTCTTTGCTTAACTTGATTAAGTTTCTGGATGGTCTGAAATTAAATAACATTTTAAAATACTTTTAAATAAATATTATTTCTGGATTATGAAATTATTTTTTACTGATAAATTCAAAATAGAATTAATAAAATTGGATATTCTATACTGTATGCTATTGTGTCTATTTAAAATAAGTTAATTTTTAATCAATTTTGCAATATGTATTGTTGCAAATTTTCTTTTCAAACAGAGAAAACTTTTTTTATTTTTTAATTTTTTGAGACTGATTCTTGCTGCATTGCCCAGGCTGTACTAGAGTGGCATGATCTCAGCTCTGTGCAACCTCCACCTTCCGGGTTCAAGCAATTCTTGTGCCTCAGCCTCCCAAGTAGCTGGGATTACAGGCCCCTGCCATCACACAGGGATAATTTTTGTATTTTTATTAGAGACTGGGTTTCACCATGTTGGCTAGGCTGGTCTCAAACTCCTGACCTCAAATGATCTGCCCTCCTTGGCCTCCCAAAGTGCTGGGATTACAGGCCTGAGCCAATGCGCCCGGCCCAAACAGAGAAAACTTTGAAAAATTGACTTCAAACAAATGGATTCAAATGTTTTATGTGATTAAAGATTTAATGTAGACATTGTACATTATGATGTAAGAAAAATTACAAAAGACAACCAATAAATAGGTCTCTAAGGATGAACACACAAAAAACATGTAGCAGGTTTTTATCTATGGCTTCAAAAATATGTATTTTTACTGCCATATCGTGAAATGTATTAACTTTCCTTATTTTGATTCTATTTTTGAACCAGCATTAAAATTTAAATTTGAGTTATTGTTTAGAAAATGGTACAAATATCACATCTATATTATTAATAATTACAAATATTACATACTTCAATGACAAATATTTCACTTTTTCTTTTTTAACTTTTATATTAAGTTCAGGGTTACATATGCAGATGTGTTACATAGGTAAACTTGTATCATGGGGGTTTGTTGTACAGATTATTTCATCATTCAGGTATTAAGCCTAGTACCTATTAGTTCTTTTGTATGATCCTCACCCTTTTCTCACCATACACCCTATGATACACCCCAGTGTGTGTTGTTCCCCTCGATGTGTGCATGTGTTCTCATCATTTAGCTCCACTTACAAATGAGAACATGCAGTATTTGGTTTTCTGTTTCTATGTTAGTTTGCTAAAAATAATGGCCTCCAGTTCCATCCATGTCCCTGCAAAGGACATGATCTCATTCTTTTTCATGAATGCATAGCAGTTCTCTTTTCCTGTGTCTTCTGTACTTTTCTAGAATTTCTTTTTGAATTTTATTACCTTATCTTCATTTTTTTATTAAGAGAATTCTCTACTATCTAAAATCAACCAGTGATTTCCAAAAGACCCTTATTTTATGATAGCAATCCCAAGTGAAATCTTGCTTATTAAAATCGAACGTTTTTTCTCATCCTATATAGTCACAGCTTAACTATTACTTGTGCTCAGCATAGTAGCTTGTGCTGTAACCCCAGAACTTTGGAAAGCCAAGGTGGGAGAACCAGATGAAGCCAAGAGTTTGAAGCCAGCCTGGACAACATAGCAATACCTCATCTCTTCTAAAAATAATTTGAAAAAATTATCTGGGTATGGTGGCATGAACCTGCAGGCCCAGCTACTCAGAAGGCTGAGGTGGGAGGATCAGTTGGGCCTAGATGGGCCAGATGTTGAAGCTGCAGTGAGTCGTGATTACGCCACTGCACTCCAGCTTAGGTGAAAGAGTGAGACATTGTCTCGTAAACAGGAAACAAAAACAAATAACGAAAACAACTGTTAATTCTATTTGCAATCAACCACTTCCATTACAACTAACTTCTAATGCCTCTGCAGTATCACTATATTTCAGAAATACAATGAACACATTAAATTTATTCTAATACAGTCATTTCATACAAGATAAAAAGGAATATATCATATAGTTTTTGGTTTAAGCCCTCTGATCTCCAAAAATATTTGTTCCCAATTACAAAATGCAGATTGGTAAGAAGATTGACTATTAACAAAGAGTAAAGGTTATAAACCAGTGATTTTCAAAAGGTGATTTCTGGACCAACAACATTAGCATTATTTGGGAATTTGTTAGAAATGCAAATTTGGGCCCTCAATCTGGACTTACTCTCAGAATCTCTGGTGTGAGATTCAGCTTTCTCTGTTTCAACAGGTCCTCCAAGTTCTTTTTATGAGCATGTAATTTGGAGAACCACTGCTGCAGAGAAAGACACTTCTGAGTTAACGTTATAGTATTCTTCAAGAATAAGTATTAAACTTCTTGATCGATAAATGCAAACAAAAATGCTGACAATTCTTAAGACATTTCTAATATGACTTTACCAATAATTTTAAAATCAGACTACTTACTAAAGATTTTACTTTTGTCACATGAACTTGAAAAGCCTTTGGGCTTATTATTTAACTTATGAGTACTCTTTAAATTTTAGCCATTTCAGTATCTTGTGGCCAATACACATAACAAAATATATGTACGTACACATAGACACACAAAAAAAACAAAGATCCTATAGTTTTACTTCAGAATTCTAACCATGAGATATTAATACAAACTCTTCAGTTTGCAACAACAAAAACAAAATGGTTGGATCCAAACTGTGGTTTTTATTTAAGTAGAAAAGTAACAGCAGATTTAAAGCAGGCAGAAAAGAAAATAGAGAAGTAGAGAGCTTAAGAATGCTATAGTTGCAGGTTAACCTTTGGGCTCTGAATTTCTCCTTGATTTAATTTGTCTATCAGTTTAAAATGCGCACAAAAAGACCATAATATGTTCATGTTACAGAAACACTTGCAAGTAAAGGCACCATAAAACCAATAGGATGCCTGACAGGGGTTACTCTCATTGTCTTTCCTTATTCTCAGATTATTTGTTTCTGACTTGTTTTTTCTTAAAAGGAATAACTGAACTGTGACCTAGGGTTTAGTGTAGTGGATTGAAGTGTGCTGATTGTGGGCAGGACTCCATAGTGTGTCACCACTGAGTCATTTCCACCCTCTTATGTGTGGCAGTTTCTCCAGAGGTCTAACAGCTCCAAAGGGCTCAAAACACAGGGAGACCAGCTCCTATATCTGTTTCCTGGATGAGCCTTTTTAAAACTAATTTTTTTGTGGGTTCCCTTTAGGCCCACTGCATGTTGCAATGAGTTAATACCACAGACACTCCCACTTGTCCACTAGTCACCCAAGGTGCCTTTTGGCTGAGAGAAGCAAAACGCACTTTCTCTTTGGAACTGAGGAAACTCAGTCTCTCATTTATCAATAAAAATGACAGTTCAGTTCCTCATGCAAATGTGCAGAAAAGCCAATTGAGTTTAATTTGGGAAGAAAAATGCAGTGGAGAAGACCCTATAGAATGCACCTCTGAGTTGAAAACCAAACAGCATGTCAAAATTTGCCATAGGAGTTATAAAACTATAAACTCAACCCCCAACAGAATGATTTTTGGTTATATAATTTTTGATAAATAAGATATTAATTATTGCTGGTTTAATGAAAACAGCTAAATCTTGAGTTATTTGTAAAATGCCCATATATTTAACCTTAGTTTTCTACTTAGGTAAAAACCTTAAATTCATAGGCTATTAAAACCCATTTATGCCTAGTGTTCCATTATTGGAACACTAAGCATGTGGGAGTTATTTATATCCTACTACACAATGTCATCACAAACGTCTGATTGCAAAAATTCAAAAAACTGCAACCTCAGGCATAAAAGGGTTAAAATAGTTAGCAGTGAAATAACTTTAAATGGTGACTATCACAGTTTTCATAAATAATCTAGGGAAAGTATTAAATATATTAATCAGGTAGATGCAATGGAATAAATTCTCATAAACAAACATCATATAATTTAGAATCTAATATTATATTAAATAATAGATAGTTAAATGTCTGGGTGAATTTCTAATTTCTAATTTAATAATAATTGAAAACCTTTTTTTTTTTTTTTTTTTTTACCATCAGAGTGAACAGGCAACCTACAAAATGGCAGAAAATTTTCGCAACCTACTATCTGACAAAGGGCTAATATCCAGAATCTACAATGAACTCAAACAAATTTACAAGAAAAAAACAAACAACCCCATCAAAAAGTGGGCAAAGGACATGAACAGACACTTCTCAAAAGAAGACATTTATGCAGCCAAAAAACACATGAAAAAATGCTCACCATCACTGGCCATCAGAGAAATGCAAATCAAAACCACAATGAGATACCATCTCACACCAGTTAGAATGGCAATCATTAAAAAGTCAGGAAACGACAGGTGCTGGAGAGGATGTGGAGAAATAGGAACACTTTTACACTGTTGGTGGGACTGTAAACTAGTTCAACCATTGTGGAAGTCAGTGTGGCAATTCCTCAGGGATCTAGAACTAGAAATACCATTTGACCCAGCCATCCCATTACTGGGTATATACCCAAAGGACTATAAATCATGCTGCTATAAAGGCACATGCACACGTATGTTTATTGAGGCACTATTCACAATAGCAAAGATTTGGAACCAACCCAAATGTCCAACAATGATAGACTGGATTAAGAAAATGTGGCACATATACACCATGGAATACTATGCAGCCATAAAAAATGATGAGTTCATGTCCTTTGTAGGGACATGGATGAAATTGGAAATCATCATTCTCAGTAAACTATCGCAAGGACAAAAAGCCAAACACTGCATGTTCTCACTCATAGGTGGGAATTGAACAATGAGAACACATGGACACAAGAAGGGGAACATCACACTTTGGGGACTGTTGTGGGGTGGGGGGAGGGGGGAGGGATAGCATTAGGAGATATATCTAATGCTAAATGACGAGTTAATGGGTGCAGCACACCAGCATGGCACATGTATACATATGTAACTAACCTGCACATTGTGCACATGTACCCTAAAACTTAAAGTATAATAATAATAAAATAAGTTAAAAAAAATTCTGAAAAAAAAAACCATTTTTAAAAGTGTGTTCTTCTTAAAGGTAAATAATTTTTGTCTAGTTCAAAGGTTATTTAGAGGTTATGTATAAAACAAAGTAAAATGAACCAGGAAATAAGAGAGATATAAAGAAAGTTATAGCTATAAAGAGGTATTTTTGGCAAGAAAAGTTAAAAGTGATTTTATATGAGAAAAAATTTTGTATTGTGGATTTTTTGTCCTAAAATAAAAGAAATAGTTGTTCATGAAAGGAGAATATTTAACACAAATAAAGTCCAAGCATAATTTGAATAGTCTGTGTAAAAAATGAATTTATTTTTATTTATTTATTTTTATTTTATTTTATTTTATTTTTTATTTATTTATTTATGTATTTTTATTTTATTTTATTATTATACTTTAAGTTTTAGGGTACATGTGCACAATGTGCAGGTTAGTTACATATGTATACATGTGCCATGCTGGTGTGCTACACCCATTAATTCGTCATTTAGCATTAGGTATATCTCCTAATGCTATCCCTTCCCCCTCCCCCCACCCCACAACAGTCCCCAGAGTTTTTAAAAAGAGTTACCTAATTAAGTTTGCTGTTATCAAAAACATATTATAATAGTCTTTCTAGAAAATAGACTTCGATATTAAAATACAGTAATACAAAACTAAATATTTGATTAGAACAAGATTTTATTTAAAATATTGACTTATTCTTAATAATATAAATTTTTAGTTTTTAAATTTTACAATCTGTTTCTTTTAGAAATTCTTTAGATTAATATCTTAGAAGTTCAACTTCTACTGTACTCTTACTTCAGAAATTCCTCTCTTTTGAAAAGCCCTGAGATGGTAACTCTCTCCTCCACATCTTATCTCCTATAACTTTTTTTTAAATTAATAATGTAAAGTATTGGAGGGAATTTTTTGAAAACAGGTAAATGGAAAATCTTTTCCACCTGCCTTTTCTGTATGTCTGTTATATCTATATGTTTATATGTGTCAGGTAGAAGTGATATTTCACTACTAAACTATAGGAACAAGCTCTAAGCTATTGGCTTAAAGAAAGGTAAGTGCTTATCAGATTAACATCAGCTATCCCAGGTGCCTTTTAATTAGAATTACCTTGGTATTTTTTGGTAAGATTCATTTGGTAAATTTAATCTCAAAATTCTCTCCTGTAGCTAAAATTTTAAAGTCATGTTATGATAAATTAAGTAACCTCAGTTTTGTCACTGGGAATTGGGGTTACTAAGAGTTAAAAATTACAGGAGAGTAAAAGGTGTTTTTGGTGACATTTATAAAAACACAAGGATGTGGTTTTTGTGAAGGAAAATGTAATTTTTTTCTAGTTTAGAGACTAAGAGTCGCTTTAAAATAAATGGCAAATTATTTATTAAAACTAAATGTATAAGGAGAAAAATAAAAAGATGGGGAATGAGAAATCCGAACTCTTGAGTGACCACGTGGTCACCCACCTTCAGGGGCTGCAGCTGGGCTGTATTCAGTCATCAAATATGAAAGTTACCAGTGGAATTTATAGATGAATCATACCCATAGCCCCAGAGAGTTAGTTCACTGAATGCATAAGGAAATCCAAAAAAATAATAAAAAAGCAAAATATTCAAACTTTTTTTTTTTTTTTTTTTGAGATGGAGTCTCCCTCTGTCGCCTGGGCTGGAGTGCAGTGGCGCTATCTCGGCTCACTGCATGCTTCGCCTCCCAGGTTCACGCCATTCTCCTGCCTCAGCCTCCCGAGTAGCTGGGACAACAGATGCCTGCCACCACGCCCGGCTAATTTTTTGTATTTTTAGTAGAGACGGGGTTTCACTGTGTTAGCCAGGATGGTCTCGATCTCCTGACCTCGTGATCCGCCCACCTCGGCCTCCCAAAGTGCTGGGATTACAGGCATGAGCCACCACGCCCAGCCCAAACTTTTATGTTTAGTAACTAATGCAGCCTAGCTTCAGCTCAAGATGAGTGACCACATGGTCACACAAGGATTAAGATTTCTCATTCCCAATCTTTTTATTTTTCTCTTTATTCATTTAGTTGTACTATATAATTTTCTTCTTTATTTTAAAATTATTGTTATTTGTAAATACCTGAAATGAAAGTGAAGGAGTCCTGGTTGAGCCTTAAGGCTAGACCAAGCTCAGATGTGGGTCTGTGTCAGCTCAGGGTACTAGCCTCAAAGCTATCTACCAAAATAACTGAAACCGGGGCAACAAAAAGTTACTTCTGAGACCTGTGTTTACCAAAAGGATAAGTCAATGTGGGTGGAGGACAAAACCAAGTAACTGTTCAAACCAGAGGGTATAATAAAAAGGAATTGTTCCATTTTGTAGATTGGGATTTGTATTAGTCTATTCTCATGCTGCTATCACAACATACTCAAGGCTGGGTAATTTATAAAGAAAATAAGTTTAATTGATTCACAGTTCTGCAGGGCTGGGGAAGCCTCAGGAAACTTACAATCATGGCGGAAGAGGAAGCGAACACATCCTTCTTCACATGGTGGCAGGAGAGAGAAGAATGAGAGCTGAGCAAAGGAGGAAACCCCTTAAGAAACCATCAGATCTCATGAGAACTTATTCACTATCATGAGAATAGCATGTGGGAGATCAGTCCCATGATTTCATTATCTCCATCTGATCCCACCTTTGACACGTGGGGATTATTATAATTCAAGGTGAGATTTGGGTGGGGACATAAAGCCTATTAGTATTATCATCTTTCTGAGCCTGAGTCCCTTGGTTCAACCACCTGCTGGGAACCCAAATTCTTTTTCACTAAAATGGGTAAAATGGTCTAGTGGTAGAAAAGTTCCCTGGGATCAGAACATAGAAATGTATAGATTGTTACAATTATAAAATTTGAGATGCTTAAAAAACATTCTTTATGCAAGGTAGTTGTGATTCCTTTACCTAAATGTGTTCTAAAAGTGGGTATTTTACCTTACTGGGGGATGTCCCCCTATCTTGTAGTATAAAACTGAAGGCATGTAGATCTTCCCTTTGAGAAATGTTAATTATACACACTAAATGAGATCTAGTAAGATTGCCTGAATCTACAGAATATAGGGTAAAAGCTGAAGTGCTAGTCAGGACAAATCCTCCACTTCAGAGCCCTTTGTGGACCTTTTATTGTGACTTATAGCAAAAAACTGTGAGTACTTCCCAATGGCAATTACCAGAGTAGAGAATTTCAATTTGAGAGATATTTACTACCTTGTTGTGGAATGTTACCTGAAGCGATCCTTATGCTAATGAAAATCACGGTGTCTAAAAGAGTTCCATGATAAAATAAAAATGGTTTACTTAGGATCTTGCAACCTGGGGTACAAGGAGGAGATACTCAAAAGCAGGGAGCCTCTTTTTTTCCCCTAAGACTTACTCTAACTATGTGACAAGCTTCTAGGTTCCTACAGTGCCTGATAAAGAGATCTCATGTAACAAGAGCTGCTTAGCATGTGAATGGCAGTTCCAAAGGCAGACATTTTGTTTGAGAGTCTTCTGCTTTTGTTAAAGGGGAGTTAAGGAAATTCTTTTCTTTGGAGTAACTTATAGTTTACAGCATTTGGGCAAGTTACATTTTTGTGAACAAGTTTACCTTTCTCTCTACCTGAGTTCTTCCAAATTTGGAAACTGTTCTTAACTTTATGACAATATAGTTACTTGCATAAGTTTAGTAAGAGTCCTTTCTTTTCAAACAGTACATTTGAAGACATTTGTTATTTTACCAAGACTTTGACTAGAATAATATATTTGTAGGTAAAGTTCCAATAAAGCCAAATTAAAAAGGGCCTATATGGCCAATCAATTCTTATTGCACTTGATGTGAATAATCAAGCCAAGTGTAATAAACCTAAAACTAACTATGCACACAAATTGTTCTTACAATAATATAATTTCTCTTTAGTAGAAAAGGAGGGCTAGAAAGAAATTGTTTCAAAGGAAGAGTGTAACACTTGTTACTGGATTTCAGCCCTGACTTTTTTTGTTGAGTGCAGATTGAATCATGAATTATTTCTTGGCTACAATGATCCTCTAAAGAGTACAAGACTATAACTTTTCTTCACATTTTTAGTTGATGCCCTCATGGAATAGTTTTCTTTTTTGTTCTGACACACAAGTAATCTTTTAATTGTCAAATATTAATGTTATTTATCTCTCCTTGTTTTACCTCCAAGGAAACCAGAATAATGCTATTCTGAAGGCTAAAGGTGCAAATCTCCCCCAGTTGGCATCCCACTGAAAACAAACTTTTTCACACAAATTCCCTGCTGCTAAAACTATACAAGTGCCCTCCCTCTAGGCCCAGGAACTATCATGGAAAAGGGGGACACATGAGATTAAAAGGGGCTGGTTTTGAGGGATAGAATTAGTTCAGACCACCCCAATCAAATGTAGGTGGGTACACAGATGTCTAAACAGTTGGTAAAACAAGAGACTTTCTTTTGAACTATTATCTGGCATATTTTCATCCAACCCAACCTTAAAGAATTTTATGCTTCTTATAAAATTAAAAGAAAATTATTACTGAGAGAATATAAAAACATTTTGTGACAAAGCGTTCCGGGTATAATACTGATAGTTAAAACTTACTAAAAGACTGCAAAAGGCATTACAGCACCAATCTCTAAAATCCCTTAGCTAAAAGTCTTTAATATTGCTTATGTTTTGTATAGCTAATTGCTATAGGCCTGTAACAAAAACTAAGATTACACTAGCTTAGTCAGCTTTGTAACCTTGTCCTTGGCTTTTTGTTTGTTGCCTTTTTGCTTAATTTATTTAAGGGTTAACAAATGTCTGTTCATGTCCATTCCCATCTGGCCTAGATCATTTGAATTGGTCATAAATCTTTTAAATGTAAGTCTTTGGCCATGCAAGGGAAGGGTCCCACCAAGGGACAGGATGGGCCCGGGGCAGGCAGCCATTCCACCTCAGCTATGCTATGGGACAAAGTAAAAATTTGGTGGCCATTGATGTTGCTTCTAGCAAATCTTGGCCAAAAAGGGGAGAATGTATATTAAAAATAAAATTCTAAGCCTCTCATTCATCCAAATGGACCCCTCCTCTTGGCAAGGTTATTCCAAAGCTAACTTGAAAAACTAGTTCAGGCCGTGATGGGAAGGGAGGCGTTGAACATGCTTCATTATACCCTCCTCTATTCTGAAATTACTGATGAAATAGACTCTTCAAGTCTGATAAGAAACATTTACAATCTAGTCTCTCTCACATCTGCTGCCTGGAGGCTTTGCTTGCATGATAAAACCCTGGTCACAAATTCTTATTTTAATCCAGATATTCTTCAGTCTTTAGGCAATAACTTAAATTTTTCAATTAATTGCCAATCATAAAATCTTGGAATCTACCTATGACGTGGAACCCCACACTTCCAGTTGCCTCACCTTTCCAGGCTGAACCAGGGTACATCTTACATGTATTTGACTGATGTCTCATGTCTCCCTAAAATATATAAAACTAAGCTGAACCCTGACCAACTCCAGAACATGTTCTCAGGAGCTCTTGAGGACTGCATCATGGGTCATTGGTCACATTTGCCTCAGAATAAATTCTTCAAATATTTCACAGTTTGACTCTTTTCATTAACACTGTCTCACAATACCTTCTTAAAAAATACTATGTAGATTTTTCTATGCAATTAGTATGCACCCTGCTCAATAAAAGCACTTACATTTCACAACATTACAAAATTTGTAATGACATCTCATTAGCAAACATGGTATTAAAAAACTTCCTAAATTGTCAATTAGGTTTCACAGCTCTCTTATTCTGGGAACTATCCAATATGTACAAAGTAAGGAAGCCACGATAACTTGAGCATGGTGTTATAACCTCATTTGTATGCATGATAAAGACCACCCTGAGACTTCATCAAGCAAGGACCTGATCAGGGACCCCTATCACAGGGTTTCTAGTGCTTTAGAGTTCCTTGCTTAAAATTTTTTCAGCCCAACTCTGGTGACCTAGACAAACTGGAACTAGCAGTGCCAGGAGACGGAGTACCCTGAGATCAGATCTGGGCCCACTTTGTTTCCAGTGCCTTCCACAACATTTTCGAAATGCTCTTTACTAGCTAAGATCACCCCAAATTTTCTGTACACCATAGGGATTGCTCTTTGCATTAGAATCACTTTACCATTAAAGCTCCAATGGATTGAATTTACCTATTTCAGAATCTATTAGCATGCAAAGGCAGGCTCTTTTAAGGAGGATGAGTAAATGACATAATGTGTTTGTGTTGCTTATCAATTGTGTCTTTGTAAATATGATTCTCTGTTTTTCATCTTTATTATATCTTTAGTAAGTCATACATAGATTTGTTGGAAAAATTAGTGAATAGGTTATAAATATGTAGCTTTTAAAGTCAAGGCTACCCACCCACTTACCATGTATCATTAGCATCCACTTACATTATGTTGTTTAAACCCAAAGCCTCGTATATAAATGAATATATATATGACTAAACTGAAATTATAGGCATATGGTGACGAAACTTTATATAACTCAAGAGTTTTTGAACATCTTGATGTATCAGCAAGTGGAAATCTATATATTTTATTTGTATAATTAGTTGTATTTTGTTTCACAATTTATGTAGTTATGTACTCACAGGGTATTTTCATTGCTTCCAAAGTAAGTGACATGTTAATAGACAGTAAGGTACATTTGCATTTTTTGCTTAAGTTTAGTAATGATAATTTTCAGTGCTGTGAGTCAGAAAGCACACTCATGTATTTACTGATGGAAATGAAAATTGGCACAATATTTTGAATGGCAGTTTAGAAATATGTATCAAAAAGCTTGAAAACTAAACCTCCTACCTTGGACCCACAATTCCTTTCAACAAACTTATTGTGTAAAAAAAAGAGTGGAAGAGCAAAGGAAGCAGATAAAAATATCTCTCACAGAATTATTTATATCATCAAACCACTAGCTAGAGTACATTTTATTACATTGAAAAATACACATAATTAAATAAATTTTCTGAAACAATACTTAATATTTTGTTTCTGTAATTCAGAAATTAGCATAGCAATACTTTCGTGGTTCTTTTAAATTAATCTTTATTTTTGTATGGTCAGAAGGAAAAGAATGAAAAAGAAAAAAATAGATATGGTTCAAACATAGCATGTATATATAGATAGATAGATAATATGTATATAAATATTAAAATATCCCAAAATATTTGTTATAGTAACCAATTGTTTCTTATTTTAGAAACCTGAAGCATGCTTTTAAATCAATCAATAAAAATGGAATAGAAGGCTGGGCACAGTGGCTCACACTTGTTTTCCCAGTACTTTGAGATGTCAAGGCAGGCAGATGGCTTGAGCTTATAAGTTCCAGAACAGCCTGGGCAACATAGCAAAACCCCATCTCTACAAAAAATACAAAAATTAGCTGGGCATGAGGGTGCATGCCTATAGTCCCAGCTACTCAAGAGGCTGAGGTGGGAGGATTGCTTGAGCCCGGGAGGCAGAGGTTGCAGTGAGCAGTCATTGCACCCCTGCCCTCCCGCCTGGGCAACAGAGAAAGACCCAGTCTCAAAGTTAAAATAAAGCAAAAATGGAATAGAAAAAAATTGCTGTATTTTTATACAATTTTATATTGCAGAACATTTTTATAAATTATATTTGCATTCAAAAAAGATAATAATCTAATCTAAGCTCTTAAAATAAGTTTAATATGAAGGAGGACATCCTAAGTAAGATAAGAAAACTTAAAAAAACGAAGACTTTAAAAAAAAAACAAGCAATATGTAGCTCAGACAAGTATGAATATTTCTAATACAGATAAGAAAACTTAAAAAAGGAAGACTTTTAAAAAAAGCAAGAAATATGTAGCTTAGACAAGTATGAATATTTCTAATATTGATAATATCTCCTTTTAAATAAAACAGATACAAAATATAAATGTAAAATAATAGTCAAAACATTTTAAAAATGTACATCTGTCATTAATATAAGAGTTTTTCTGAGTTAGGTATAATTATGCACACCTGTAATCCCAGCACTTTGGGAGGTCAAGGCGAGAGAATAGCTTGAGGCCAAAAATTTGAGACCAGCCTGGGCAACATAGCAAGACTCCATCTCTGTAAAAAATTTAAAAAGTTAACCAGGTGTGGTGGTGTGCATCTGTAGTCCTACCTACGTAGGAGGCTGAGGCAGGAGAATTACTTGAGCCTAGAAGTTTCAGGCTGCAGTGAGCTACGATTGAAACACTGCCCTCTAGCCTGGGTGACAGAGTAAGGCCCTGTCTCTAAAATAAAAATAAATAAATAAATAAAAATTGACAAAGAAATGTACAATTTTTAGGATCCAGATAACTCTAAGCTACAGCAGAAATTACAAAATATTTTCCATCCACCTGTTTGGCAAACATTCTAAGCACCGTCTAAACTTTACCAAATTTCAGAAAAAAAGAAAATCACATTACTGTTATAAATGTTAGATACTCCACACAACCTGTTTTGAAGGCAATCTGATATTCTTTTTTTCACAGAAATTCAATTATTTAAAAAATGTTTCAAGGCAAACTAAAAAAGGACACAAATTACTAATCACAGAACATCACTATGTATTTAATGATCACCAAAAGGATAATAAAAGTATAGTATAAATAACTCATATTATATACTCCAGATAAAATGGATCAGTTTTTTAAAAGAAACAATGTGCCAAAATTTACAAATAAGAAATAGGGAAGCTGAATAAGCCCATATATATATATATATATATACTTCTATATATATATATACTTCTATATATATATATATATATATATATATATATATATACTTCTATATATATATATATACTTCTATATATATATATATACTTCTATATATATATAGATACTTATATATATATAGATACTTATATATATATATAGATACTTCTATATATATAGATACTTCTATATATATATAGATACTTCTATATATATATAGATACTTCTATATATATATAGATACTTCTATATATATATAGATACTTCTATATATATATAGATACTTCTATATATATATATACATATATATATATATATACACACATATATATATATATATATATATATAAAATCAATAATTTATAATGTTTCAAAACAGAATGTACCAGGCAGGTCCAGGTGGGTTCCATAGTGAATTCTAACAAACATTTAAGGAATAAATTATACCAATTCCCCATTGTCTTTCAAAACATAAAAGCAGATAGATTACTTTTTAACTCTTTCTATGAGGCCAGCATTGCCTATTTACTAAAAGCTGACAAAAACATGACAAGACAATTTATCTGCATATCAACATTTCTTATGGATATAGATGTGAAAAATTATCAATAGAATATTAGTATATCAAATATTATAATGTATACAAATAATTATACACCATGGCCAAGTGAAAATTATCCCAAGTATACAGAGCTGGTTCAACATTAGTAAATTAATAAATGTAAACCATCATATTACTAGGCTATGTTTATAAAAGAAAGATCATATAATCATAGTAAAAACACAAAAAGCATTTGACAAAATTTGACACTCACTTATGATAAACACTGTCAGTAAACTAGAAATAGAGGGTAACTTTCTCAATTTAATATCTATAAAGTTTACAGCTAACATTACCCTTAATAATGAGAAACTGGAAGCTTTCCTAATAATATCAGAATAGGCAAGGATATCACCTCTCACCACTCCTTTTCAACATCATACTGGAAGTACTAACTCATGCACTTAAACAAGAAAACAAAACAAAAGATATATAGATAGGGAAGAAATAAATAAAACTGTCTTTTCTGCAAATGACATAATCATCTACGTAGAAAACCCAAAAGAATTAACAACAACAACAAAAAGCCTTACTGGAACAAATGAGCAAATACAGCAAGGTTACAGGATACAAGGATGACATACAAATGTCAATTACTTTCCTATATAACACAAATGAACAAGTGAAATTTGAAATTAAAAACACAATACCACTAATATTAGCATGCAAAAACAAAGTTCTTAGGGATAAATCTAACAACATATATGAAAGATCAATATGAGGAAAACTACAAAACTCTGTTGAAAAAAATAAGGAAATAACTGAATATATAGAACAATCAAATTCCTAGCAAGCTATTTTGTGGATATCAACAAACCAGTTCAAAAGTTTATATGGGGAACCAAAAGACAGAGAATAACCAACATAATATTTTAAGAGAGGATCAAAGTGAGGATTCACACTATCTGACTTCAACACTTACTGTAAAGCTACAGAAAGCAAGACAATGTGGTATTAGTAGAAGAACATAAATGGCTTAATGGAACAGAATAGGGAGCACAGCAATAGACCCACATAAATATGGTCAATTTATCGTTGACAAAGTAGCAAAGGCAATGCAATGGAGAATAATCATATTTTCAACAGATGGTGCTGGAACAACTGGACATCTATTTGCAAAAAAAAATAAATAAATAAATCTAGAGACAGACCTTACCCTTCACAAAAAATAACTAAAAATTGATCATAGAGCTGAATATATAACCCCAAACTATACAACTCTTAGAAATAACATAAGAGTAAAACTTAGCTGGCATCAGGTTATAGGGATAACTTTTTACATATACCAGGGGTGTCCAATCTTTTGGCTTCTCTGGGGCATATTGGAAGAATTGTCTTGGGCCATACATAAAATTCACTAACACTAATGATAGCTGACGAGCTAAAAAAAAAAAAGTTGCAACAGAAACCTCATAATGCTTTAAGAAAGTTTACAAATTTGTATTGGGCCACATTCAAAGCCTTCCTCGACTGCATGCAGCAATTGGGCCATGGGTTAAACAAGCTTGACACATACAAAAGGCAAAATCCATGAAAGAAACAATTGGTAAGCTGACTTCATTAAAATTAAAAACTTCTGCTCTGCAAAGAACACTATTAAAATAATGGGAGGACAAGAAACAGACTGGAGGAAAATATTTGCAAAAGACATCTGATAAAGGGTATTATCCAAAAATATACAAAGAATTCTTAAAACTCAACAGTAAGAAGAAAACAATAAACCCACTTAAAAAGAGGACCAAAGACATTAACAGACATCTCACCAAATAAAACATACAGGTGTCCAATAAGCATATAAAAAAGTCCTCCACATCACATGTCATCAGAGAACTGCAAATTAAAAATAAAATGAGATATCACTATACACCTGTTAGAATGGCCAAAATCCAGAAAACTGACAATACTAAATACTGGCCAGGATGGCCATCGTTGCTGCTAGGAGTGAAAAATGGTATTCCCACTGTGGAAAACATTTTGGGGGTTTCTCACAACACTAAACATGGTCTTGCAATATGATTTAGTAAACGTATTCTTTGGTATTTATCCCAAAAGTTGAAAAGTTATACCCACACCATAAATGTTCTTATGGATGTTTTAGCCACTTTTTTATAATTACAAAAACTTGGAAGCAACCATGATATGATTCAGTAGGCAAATAAAAAAAATAAACTGCGGTACATTCAAACAATGAAATATTATTTGGCACTAAGGAATTAGCTATCAATCCATTAAAAGAGGTGGAGGAAACTTAAGTTCATATAAATAGGTAAAAGATGTTCAATCTGAAAAGGCTACATACAGTATGATTCTAAATATATGACATTCGAGAAAAGATAAAATTTTAGAGACAGCAAAAAATTGTGGTTTCCTGGGGGAGTGAGGTGGAGAGAAAGAGTGGGAGTATGAAATATTTTTAGGGCAGTGAAAATACTCCACATAATACTATAATGGATACATGTGTTATACATTTATTCAAACCCATAGAATGTATGACATCTAGAGTGTGTTCTAATGTATATTATCAATTTTGGGTGATTATGATATGGCAATGTAGATTCATCAGTTGTAACAAATGTACCACTCTGATGAAGAATATTGATAATGGTGTTGATAGATTATACATGTGTGGAGGAAGAGGGTAAATGAGAAATCTCTGTACCTTTCTCTTAATTTTATTATGAACATAAAACTGCTCTAGATTAAGAAGTATTTATAACTGTAGTAGCAAAAACCATATCTAAATGTTCAGGAAGAGGAAAATAGCTAAATAATTTTGGCATATGTATATTATGCGATATTAAGCAGGTATGAAAAAGTTTGAGTTATATAGCTAGCTATCCCTCTCTATCTGTCTATCTATCTATCTATCTCAATAAACTAGACAACCCAGAAACTATCCAACTCTCTCTCTCTACATATATATATACATATATATATACACACACATATATATACATATATACATATATATACACACACACACACATATATATATATACACACATACATATATATATGGAGGATGGATATTCATGAGTAAGAAAAATAATCATATTTTATGTTTTACAATTGTGCAGGAAAATATCTCAAAGAACAATGATTTAAAAGAGTAAAAATTCTGCTTTAGTTACAAAATACCTCGTGACTTGGGTCAATTATTTCAGTCATCTTGTTACAAACCCCTTGGAAATCTGGCCAGTAGGTATTAAGCATAGCAAACAGCTAATGCCCCCAAAATAAACGAAGGCTAGGAATGAAGTGGAAGATAAATATTGGACATGTACTTGTAAGCTGACATTCCCAGCCACTCACCCCAGGTTTATGATTAATTGCGTATTAATTCCCACGTGTAGACCACAGGAATAATACTGAAAGTTAAGTCATCACATAAAGTTTGACCATGAAGGATACACACTGAATGAAAAGTGAGAGAAAAAAAAAATCTACCCACCAATACAGGAACATATCAAGAACCATGTTTTTCTCTGCCAGGCTCTTAGGCAAATTAATACTACTGCACTGCCCTAATGTAGGTTTGATATTAAAATTTGTGAGATTTGCATTATCACAAAATTCCCAATCCAAAAGTCAAATGCAAAAGAGATCCCCTAAGATAATTTTGTTGACATATCTACAGCAGATGTAAATTTAAATTCTCCTATCTAAAGTTGAAGATGTAATTCTTCCTGTTCTTGTTACAACAATAGCACAAATTAATTTATTCAAAATCTGAGAATTTTTCAGAAGTAGTTGAATGATGAGAAAATTTGTATTTAAGTACTAAAAAGTATAAAAATAACATAAAGGATTAGATTAAGAAACAGGAAATCTATTTCTCATTCTAAATGCCAGGAAGTGTGAGATAAATTAAAGAAAGGTCTTTAAGAAAAATGTTTCAAAGTTGAAGTTAAAATAAATGGTTTTTTAAAAATATATTCATATTAAAAAAGCAAACTGATCTGCTTAAGACATTTATGGGATAACATTGATTTTAACAAATTAAATTAAATACATTTGAGCAAAACTAAATTTATAATGTGAAAATGATTAACATTAAGAACGAATCAAACCGTAACTCTTCCAGTCTAATCTCCTACAAAATTCCCATCCTTTTATTCTCAGCGCTTGAGTTAATGAAGAAAAGAGAAAATACTAGACATGAACCCACTGATTGCTGTTTTCCTCTCCTTCCTATAGCATTTGTTTATCACTGGCTTCATAGAAAGAACTATCCTTTCTTTTGTAGAAGATTAATCGCCTGAATTATTGGTACTTTTCTCATTATAATTCTCCACAATTATTTTCTTATTACATTTGTGCTCCAAGCAGTTGCACGCACAACTCCAAGCTAGCTTTCGATAAATTGCTATTAAGCTGAGCTTATTTGGTTTTCAAAAATAGAAATTCATACCGGTAAAGATGGCAGGTTTGAAGCTAGAGTTTGAAATTTAAAAAAAGATAAATCAGCAAAATATTAGCTGAGGAAAAAAGGTTAAAAGAATATTTTACTAGAAACCAATAAATTTTAGGAAAGAGTAATTTAGAACATTTGGAAGTCACATGAAATACAGCTGTGTCAAATGGGATATATTACACAAAATATCATTTGGTCATTGATAAATTACCAATTATTAGAGTAATATAATACACATTAATAAAAGAGAACAAATGTAGTTATTATGCTGATTTGTGTCAGACAAAATTTTTTGGCTTCATGATGGAAATTAAAGACCAGTTGTCAAAGTATGGCAATATCTTCTGATTTAATAATGTGTCCAATGTACCTACAATGCAGATGGATGATCAAGTTATAGGAACTTTTGTGTCTCCATCACTGACCTTCTTCACTAGTCAGCTACATAAGTGCAATCTTGGATTTTGGCACCTCATCTGTTGGCCTCTCCAGAATTAATAAACTTCTACTTTTAGTAACTTCTACTTTTAGACCACCTGCTGGGTGAATATTTGGGGAGACGGTTGGATAGAGTGGCTCCTGTGAAAAATAAACACTCTGGGAAATCTGAAGTACAGGCTTCACTCACAACATGACTGAGCTGCAGTCACTTGCTCTGAAATGCTATTTTCTACAGCATGGTCCTGAGCACGACATGTATCATTTTTTTCCAAATAGGTAAGAACTTTTGGGTTACTGAGGATAATTTATTTTTTGAATACAAATGATGTTACAGTTTCTAATAGAATACATGCAGTTTTCGATAATCAAATAGTAATGATGATAGGTATCATCATGGATTTCATCAGTGATATTCTTTTGCAGTATTTGTTGATGATGGGATTCCTACCATTGAAATTATTATTTTTCAAGGTTTTGAGATAAAAAATGAGGTTTTTGCAATTCTGTAAAACTACCTTACTGCCATTTATGTGACTATGACAATTACTGAAATAGTAGTTTTAAATAAAGCTTTCTTGTTGCTTAATCTATACAAACATGCATGCTGTGATACATACGCTGGCTAAATAGCATAGAAGTGTGGTTTTGAAATAGTTTTGATGTGTTATTTTGCATCAAGTTTGGCAAAATATTTGCCTTGATCTACCCTAACTACCTGTATAAAAATTATGTCAAGTTAATTTCAACATACTGCTTGCTTTGTAATTCTATGTAGGATGCCAATAGTGCAATATAATTGTTTTGTAATAGTGTCAATAAATATATTCAAATTTATTTTATAGTTTATTTTTAAGTATTTCTAATATATTTATCAAAACATTAATTTTTGCTTATGTATTTAAAAATATATTGTCTGGGCCAGACGTGGTGGCTCACTCCTGTAATCCCAGCACTTCGGGAGGCTGAGGCGGGCGGATCACGAGGTCAGGCGGATCACGATGTCAGGAGATCCAGACCATCCTGGCTAACACAGTGAAAACCCATCTCTATTAAAAATACAAAAAATTAGCCAGGCGTGGTGGTGGGTGCCTGTAGTCCCAGCTACTTGGGAGGCTGAGGCAGGAGAATGGTGTGAACCCGGGAGGTGGAGCTTGCAGTGAGCTGAGATTGCACCACTGCACTCCAGCCTGGGCAACACAGCGAGACTCCATCTCAAAAAAAAAAAATTGTCTTATGCTCTTTCTACCTATAAATATATCAGTAGTCATTAAAACATTATGTTTATTTCTAGTTATATGATATTTGTTTTAGGTTTAGTAGATTTTTTTTGCACATGAAGAACTTATGATTTCTTACTATTTTCTAGAACTCTGTATTAGTATAAATTCCTCTCAACTTATAGAACACTTTAAAAATATTTTGACAAGTCACTAACATTTTCCATGAGTCTTTTTTATAATGTCAAATGTCTTAAATGTCTATATAAATATATGTTTAATATATAGATAAAATATAGAGACATTATATATACATATAAATATATATTATATATACATGTATTATATATATTATATATATTTATACTTTATAATATATTATATATTATATATGTATATATAATATATATAATATATATTATATAAGTATATATAATATATATAATATATATTATATAATATATATAATATATTATATATATAATATATTATATATATTATATAATATATTAAATATTATATATATTTATATAATATATACATATATAATTATGTATACATTAATTATGTATACATATATAATTATGCATACATTAATTATTATGTATACGTATATAATTATGTATACATTAATTATTATGTATGCATATATAATTAAGTATACATATATAATTATGTATGCTTATACATGTATAAGACATAATGTAAAATTTCTTAAATGTCTATATAAATATGTTTAATATATAGATAAAATATAGAGACATTATATATACATATAAATATATTACATATACATGTATTATATATTTATATATTATAATATATTATATATGTATATATTTATATATAATAAATTATATATGTATATATAATATTATATATATACAAATATATACATATGTAATATTGCCAAATCTTTCATTATGTGAATATCTTTCATAACAAACTTTTTTTGGATTATTTCACAATTTTTGAGGACCAAATTAAATGGCATATGTGAGTTTATTAATTCTGGTGAGGCCCACAGATGAGGTGAGGTGCCAAAACCCAAGATTCCACTTACATAGCTGACTAGTGAAGAAAGTCAATGATGGGAACATAAAGTTTCCTGTTTCTTGATCATCCATCTGCATTGTAGGTACACTGGGCACATTATAAAAACAAAATATAAATTGTTTACAGGTATTCTTATTAGAAAAAAAACAATAATTACTGTGGCCTTCTTCTGAAAATAAAGCTCTTTTATCCAAATAGAAATTCTGTAAATTCTGAGGATAGGCGTCAGTTAGAAGACTCTGGGTTCTAGTGAATCGATTTAACGATGGTGATATTAATTATTGCCGATACCAGCTTGGTCGGGGAGACCCTAACCCAGTGGCGCTAGAGGAATTAAAGACACACACAAACAAATATAGAGGTGTGAAGTGGGAAATCAGGGGTCTCACAGCCTTCAGAGCTGAGAGCCCCAAACACAGATTTACCCACGTTTATTAACAGCAAACCAGTCATTAGCATTGTTTCTATAGAAATTAAATTAACTAAAAATATCCCTTATGGGAAACGAAGGGATGGACGGAATTAATTGCAGCAGGAACATGCCCTTAAGACACAGATCTCTCAGGCTTTTGTTTGTGGCTTAAGAATGCCTTTAAGGGGTTTTCCACTCTGGGCGGGCCAGGTGTTCCTTGCCCTCATTCCCGTAAACCCACAACCTTCCAGCTTGGGCGTTATGGCCATTATGGACATGTTACACTGCTGCAGAGATTTTACTTATGGTCAGTTTTGGGGCCAGTTTATGGCCAGACTTTGGGGGGCTTGCTCCCAACAAATTATCAATTTCCATTTACATGAGTGCTTTTTAATTAAAATTACAAATTTACAGGCTTCATAATTTTCCCTTGTTTCTCACTGCTAGATTTTAAAAATCAGCGATTTCAATATATGTATATGAAGCTCTTGCCCTATGAAACACCTTCTGAAAATAATATACTATGCCCAAATAAGCCTAAAAAGGGTTTATGCTGCATTCTTTTCTTCTAGATTGAAAACATTTATTGTTATATTAAAAGCTCTGAAGAATTCTGTAAGAAGCTGTTTTTAAATTGGAATTCTTAAATATTTTTATCATAGAAAATCTTCCTCAAAATTTTGGAAAATCTGATTTTAAAGCATTGTAATATTAGCAAATAGACTATGAATCATTAATAAGGTTGTGCTTGTTGTCAATAGGTAGCAAGCTTTTAAAATACAAGACTCAGAATCAGAAATAACATGGTTCAAATCCTAGCTCCATCACTAACTGACCAGGGAAAAATTACTTCAATCTTCAATCCTTCCATTCCTAAAATGATAACAATAAGTCCCACCAATAAAAATGTTGAGAAGATATAATGAAAAGATGTTTAAAGCCTTAGCACACTGTGTTACACTCTAGAAAATACTTAGTTTAACAGTTAACTATTGAGGATTTATTTTCTTATGATTTTGAAGAAGTAATTTTTTTCTTCTAACAGTTAGTCCTGGTTTCTTAATGAAACAAAATCAACTGTAGTAGTCCAAAAGGCTACCATGAAAGGCAAAGATTACTAGGAGAGGCAATCTAGCTGTCAAGAGGTTTCAAGAGTATTATTACTTATAGGGAATTTGGCATCATCAAGTATTACCAAATCTATACATGACAGTGCCAAAGGACAAGTGTAATCTATCAAAGAGAAAGCTGGCCAAACTCATGAGACCAGTGAATAAAACCAACAATCCAACTCAATTCAATTATCTGAAAGAATTATAACTAGAGTGAAACTGGAATACCCATGTTGGAATACATAATTTGATTCCCTTCCTTAAGGGAAGGTAAGATGTTACCATAAGATTTATCTAAGGAAGGTGTATACATTGGTTTACATTGGTAAATCAATGTTTAAGGATGGATTCACCAAATGAGCATAAAATCAGAACAGATAATTTATTTTAACAAGTATATGACAGGAAATGTGCTAGGTGCTAGTTACATGATTCAAAAATGCAATTAATCTGGATTGAGGTGATCTTCTGTAGACATTTTGAATATTGAAATTGTCTTTCCAGTGACTCCAAAAGACTGAATATCATTGCATTTCTAATGTACATAATTAAAGTGAGCATCTTAAATATTTGTATTTAACAAATACAATTTTATATCTTCCTAAATCTGCCTAATTTCTCTTGCGGCTGGTACTTTCCATCTTTTTCTTTAGGTATATAATGCTTTTGGTCAAGTTCTGCTCTGCCATCACATCTCAATAATGTTAATATTATATTTTTGCCTTGATGTCTCACACACAAAGAACATGGGCCAAATCTAATGAAAGATCTGATTTTCCTTTTCCAAGATAATTGAGATTTCTCATTGTAGTCCCATTGCCAAACTTTTCATTGTTGTCAAACAGCAAAACAACTGAAGGTTTTTCAACGAAAAATAAGGAAAAGAAAACACCATCTTCCCTAAAGAAAACATGGCTTAAAGATGGATGGGAGAGAGAAGGGTCATGGAAGGAGAGAGAGAGGAAAAAAAAAAATGAGGGGGGGGGAGAGAGAGAGAGAGAGAGAAATAATAATACATCATTTTGGCTAAACTGGGAAACAAAGAAGATGCATAACTATATGTTTATCTTAGAATGCATAAAAATGTATGTAAATTTAAGTTCCACACAGTGAAAAGACATTCGGGATAAAGTCAACTTAAGTGGGTGCAGTATCCTTATATAGTGAGATGTTAAGATTTTGCTAGTTTCCATTCATTATAGAAAAAAACTTTCTTTGGGATATGGAATTCCAAAAACATACCTCATTTGATACTACAATATTCCCAGTCTTATTTGAAACATAAATTATATAAATCCTGCTTTGTAGTAGCAGAAAAGTATATCTCCATCTTTTAAAGGAAAATTTGATTCCAATGTTCCCATATAAAATATACTGGCCTCAGCAAGAGTTTTACATAAAAGTTGCAACATGGCTGATCACCCATCTCCCTCAGAGTCAATTATTTTAACGTTTTCAGTCTGGGCTTAGGCCTAGTCATTACACAAAAGGGAGTTTCAATAGGGTTTGTAATGACTTGTTACTTGTGCTGAGATTTCTCAGGCAACTTTGATTCTGCTTGATCTATTGTTGCAATTGATTTTATAGATCACCAAGGAATGCACAATCACTTCTATCACCATGTGTAGCTTTGGAATTCTAATCTAACTTGCCTTTGTCCAACAATTGTATTGGACATACACATTAGTGGGGAATTTTTTTCTTTTAAGGTTCCAAATACCAATTTTCTTTAGCATATAGAATAAAAGCTACCTTGTCTAAATAAATATATTTAGAATATGTTGGATTAGTATTATATAGAGGATATAATTGTTGCTCCTTGACTATATCTCCTTGACAGGTGTTGAACTGCCTACACTTTGCTTGATTGGTAAATATATTGCTATTGTTTTTATAGAAAAATTCTAGAAGTTATGCTAGAGTACACTTTCACAATGCACCTTAATGCAAAACATCTGTTTCATAATCTACTCTCAGTTATCAAAGGTATAAAAAATATTGTTAAATTTCTTTTTCTTTCCCACTCATTAGCTTATTGGTGAGAGTATTTATGTATAGCTGCAAGGAATGCCTTATAGAGATAAATATAGTACTGAAGGCAGCTGAAGTAATAAAAAGAACTAGCAAACAAGATACCTGGTTCCACAAGAGCCCTTATGTGTTTTATTTAGTGTCTTCCCTCTTGGCTCACTATTAAATACCCATAGCTCCAGACTGGCTGTCCTCCATTTCTTTTATCTACTCTTCTGCATGCCACATGGAATAGCAAAGCCATTCATCATATTTTGCATGATAATATCTTTGGTATTATAGACTAAATGATAGAGCTCCTAGGTGTATAATGATCCACATTTCCAAACTTTAATCTGTCTTTATCGGTAGTTTCTAGGATTTTCCCTCTATAGTCTTCTCAGCCTGCAAACTCTCCTCAGCCAAATAAGCTAAAGTCAGACTTCAAAGCAGGGCTTATGAAACTCACTGTAATCTGCTACCTGACTATGTTTCTGTATTAGTCTGTTCTCACTGTGCTAAGAAAGACATACCCGAGACTGGGTGACTAATAAAGGAAAGAGGTTTAATGGACTCACAGTTTCACATGGCTGGGGAGGCCTCACAATCATGGCAGAAGGTGAAGGAGGAGCAAAGACATGTCTTACATGGCAGCAGGCAAGAGAGAGTGTGCAGGGGAACTGACCTTTATAAAACCATTAGGTCTTGTGAGACTTATTCACTGTCATGAGAACAGCAGGGGAAAAAAACTGCCCCAATGATTCAATTACCTCCCACTGGGTCGCTCCCATGACACGTAGGGATTTTGGGAGGTCAATTCAAGATGAGATTTCGGCGGGGACACAGCCAAACCATATCAGTCTCCACTTCTACTGCTTCTCATTATTACCTACATGTTTTGAAAAGACAAAACTAACTATAGTTTCAAAAACATAATGTGTTATTTATTGCTCACCATGATATTTCTTGAACTTTACCTTTAACACTTGGATTTATTTACAAGATCCTCAGATGAGCCCTAATAATACTAGCACTTATCACATTTACTCCATTAAAATCTCCACCATATCTGCCTGTCTCTTCTGCTAAACTGAGAACCCTTAAAAGGAATGCTGTCTTTTTGATATGTAATTCCAACCTCTGGCTTCTACAGTATAATCGGTCAATTGTTTTCCTCCATTTCTCTTTTCAGTTAAAACTTGTACTCTACATTTCTATCTTTCAAGCAAGGTAAAATGATTGAAAACTGATAGTTTAGTTTCAAGTAAGATTTTAGATATATACATGTAATTTTCTACAGACATGGGGTCTTGCTATGTTGCCATGGCTGATCTCATCAAATAAGTTGTATATAAATATTTTTAAAAATATAAATGGATGACTTATTCATTCATCCAGCCAGCCAGACATCCATCCATTAATTTATTTAATTCATGTAAAATGGCATTCTAGGTGTGGGTGGAAAAAAATGACAGGCTGTCTTTTTTGGCCTTGTAGTAACATTCAGTAGTTAGTACCTAATTCACTGAAACAGAACCCTGACTTCATTTTTTTAATTTTTAATTTTTGTAGGTACATAGTATGTGTATATATTTATGGGAGACATGAGATGTTTTGATACAGGCATATGATGTGACAAAAGCACATCATGATGTATGGGGTACCCATCCCCTCAGGCATTTACTCATTGAGTTGCAAACCATCCAATTACACTGTTTAAGTTATTTAAAATGTACAATTTAGTTATTATTGACTATAATCACTCTGTTGTGCTATCAAATAGTAGATCTTATTGATTCTTTCTAATTTTTTTGTACCCATTAACTATCCCTACCTCTCACCCAGCCTTTTATTACCCTTCCCAGCCTCTGGTAACAACACTTCTACCCTCCATGCCCGTAAGTTAAATTGTTTTGATTTTTGGATCTCATAAGTAAGTGAGAACATGTGATGCTTGTCTTTCTGTGCCTGACTTATTTCACTTAACACAATGATCTCTAATTCAATCCATGTTTTTGCAAATGACTGGGTCTCATTGCTTTTTTATGACTGAATTGTACTGCATTGTGTATATGTACCACATTTTCTTTATCTGTTCATCTGTTAATGGGCACTTAGGTTGCTTCAAAATTTTAACTAATGTAAACAGTGGTGCAATAAACACAGAAGTGCAGATACCTCTTCAATATACTGATTTCCTTTATTTTGGGTATATACCCAGCAATGGGATGAATCATATGGTAGCTCAGTTTTTAATTTTGTTAAGAACCCCCAACATTTCTCCACAGTAGTTGTACTACCTTCCATTCCCAACAATGTATAAGGTTTCCCTTTACTCCACATCCTTGGCAGCCTTTGTTATTGCTTGTCTTTTGGACAAAAGCCATTTTAAGAGGGGTGAGGTCATATGTCATTGTGATTTCAATTTGCATTTTTCTGATGATCAATTATGTTGATGACCTTTTCATATGCCTGTTTGCCATTTGTATGTCTTCTTTTGAGAAATGTATATTCAAATCTGGTACCCATTTTTTTATTGGATTATTAAATTTTTTCCTATAGAGTTGTTTGAACTCATTATGTATTCTGGTTTTTAATCCCTTGTCAGACTGTTAGTTTGAAAATATTCTCTCCCATTATGTGGGTTGTCTCTTCACTATGTTGATTGTATTCTTCAACTGTAAAAAAGCTTTTTAAGTTAATGTAATTCTATTTGTTCATTTTTACTTTGGTTTCCTGTGCTTGTATGGTACTGTTAAAGAAATCTTTGCCTAGACCAATGTCTTGGAGAGTTTCTCCAATGTTTTCTTACAGTAGTTTCATAGTTTGAGGTCTCAGATTTAAGTCTTTAATTCATTTTATTTGGCTTTTATGTGTAGTGACAGATAAGGGTCTAGTGTCATTCTCCTGCTTATAGATATCCAATTTCCCAACACCGTTTATTAAAGAGATTGTCTTTCCTCCATGTATGTTACTGACACCTTTGTCAAAAATAAGCTAACTGTATGTGTGTGGGTGTGTTTCTGGCTTCTCTATTCTAGTCCATTGATCTATGTGTCTGGTTCTATGCCAGTACCATGCTGTTTTGGTTTCTGACTTTTCTACTCTGTCCCATTGATCTATGTGTCTGTTTTTATGTGAGTGCCATGCTGTTTTGCTTACTATAGCTCTGTAGTATAATTTAAAGTCAGGTAATGTGGTTCCTCCAGTTTTGTTATTTTAGCTTAGGATAGCTTTGTCTACTCTGGGCCTTTTGTGGTTACATATAAATTTGAAATTTTTTTTCTGTTTCTGTGAAGAATGTAATTGAAAGTTTGATAAAGATTGCATTGAGTCTGTAGATTGCTTTGGATAGTATGGACATTTTAACAATATTGATTCTTTCAATCCACAAACATGGAATATTTTTACATTTTTTTGGTTTTCTCTTCAATTTCTGTTATGTATATTTTATAGTTTTTATTATAGAGATCTTTTACTTTTTTGGTTAATTCTACGTATTTAATTTGTGTGTGTTTATTATAAATAGGATTACTAATTTTATTTCTTTTTCACATAGTTCATTGTTGGCATATAGAAATGACACAGATTTTTGTAAGTTGATTTTGTGTCCTGCAATTTTGCTTGACACAATTTGTGTCAGTTTACACAAACAAACTGAATTTGTTTGTCAGTTGTAATACTTTTTGGTGGAGTCTTTGGGGTTTTTTCAAATATAAGATCATATCATTTGCAAACAAGGATAATTTGACTTCTTACTTTCCAATATGGCTACTTTTATATCTTTCTGTTTTCTGATTGCTCTAGCTAGGTCTTCCAGTAGTATGTTGAATAACAGTGGTGACAGTGGGCATCCTTGTCATGTTCCAGAACTCAGAGGAAAGGTTTTCAGTTTTTTTCTTTTTTTCCCTTTCAGCATGATACTAGCCATAAGTGACCTCTATTATGTTGAGGTATGTTACTTCTATCTCCAGTTGTTTGAGGCTTTTTATCATAAAGTGATGTTAAATTTTACCAAATCTTTCTTGTCTGTATCAATTGAAATGATATTATTTTTATTCTTAATTCTATTGATAATTATGTATCACTTTAATTGATTTGCATACATTGAACCATTCTTGCATCCCAGGTATAAGTTTCAGTTGGTGATGATGACTGATCTTATTAATGTATTGTTGAATTCCATTTACTAATATTTTGTTGAGAATTTTTGCATCAATATTCATCAGAGATATTGGCCTGTGGGTTTGTTTGTTTGTTTGTTTGTTTGTTTGATGTGCCTTTGTGTCATTTTGGAATCAAGGTAATACTGGCCTTGTAGAATGAGTTTGGACACATTCCCTCTTCCTCCATCTTCAGAATAGTTTGAATAGGATTTTTTATTAGTTCTTTAAATGTTTGGTAGAATTCAGCAGTGAAGCCTTTGATTTCTGGCTTTTTCTCTATCGGAAGACTATTATGAATTCAATATTATTACTTGTTATTGATCTGTTCAGTATTTGCATTTATTTGTGATTCAATCTTGGTAGGTTGTATGTGTGTAGGAATTTATCTATTTCTTCTAGATTTTTCAATATATTGGCATGTAGTTACTCAGTGTAGCCCCTAATGATCTTTTCAATTTCTGCAACATCAGTGGTAATGTCTCCCTTTTCATTTCTGATTTTATTTATTTGGCTCTTCTTTTTTTCTTAGGTAGTCTGGCTAAAGGCTTGTCAATTTCATTTAACTTTTCAAAAATCCAACTTCTTGTATCATTGGTCTTTTGTATTGTTGTTTTCAATTTCATGTATTTCTGCTTTGATATTTACTCTTTCTTTTCTTCTACTGATTTTGTGTTTGGTTAGCTCTTGCTTTTCTAGTTCTTTAAGATGCATAATTTGAAGATTTATGATTGTTTATGAATAAGATTGTTTATTTGAAGGTTTTTTCTTTTTTGATGTCGGCAGTTATAGCTATTAGCTTCCCTGTTAGTACTGCTTTTGTGGTGTCACATAGCTTTTGCTATGCTGTTTCCATTATAATTTGTTTCAAAAAATTTTCAATTTCTTTCTTAATTTCTTTATTGACCTGCTGGCCATTTGAAAGCATATTCCTTAATTTCCATGCATTTTTATAGTTTCCAAAATTTCTTAAATTAAAAATTCTGAAATTAATTGTTATTAATTCCTAGTTTTATTCCATTGTGGTCAGAGAAGATGCTTGATATTATTTTACTATTTTAGAATGTTGGAAGTCTTGATTTGTAACCTCACATATGGTCTATCCTTGAGAATGATTCATGTGTTGAATAAAAGAATGTGTACTCTGCAGCTCTTGAATGAAATGTTTTGTAAATATCAATTGGATTCATTTGGTCTATACTGAAGATTAATTGTGATCTTTCTTTGTTGATTTGCTGTCTGAAGATCTGTCTAATACTGAAAGTTCAGTGCTAAAGTCTCCAGCTATTATTGTATTGAGACCTGTCTTTTCTTAACTCTAATAATATTTCCTTTATATATCTGGATGCTTCAGTGTTGGGAGCATATATATTTAAACTTGTTATATCCTCTTGCTGAATTGACCCCTTTATAATTACATAGTGACTGTCTTTGTCTCTTTCTATAGTTTTTGCCTTGAAATCTATTTTGTCTGATACAGGTATAGCTACTCCTGCTTTTTTTTTTTTTTTTTTTTTTTTTTTGGTTTCTATTGGTTTGGAAGATCTTTTTCATCCCTTTACATTTAGCCTACATACCTCTTTATAGGTAAAGTGTGTTTCTTGTAGGCAACAGATCAATGGGTTTTATTTCTTTATCCTTTATCCTTTATCCTTTCTTTATTTATGCTTTCAGATAGCCTATGTCTTTTGATTGAAGAGTTTAGTACATTTACATTCAATGTTATTATTGATAAGTAAGGACTTAGTCTTACCATTTCATTATTTGTTTTCTGGTCTTCTCTTCCTTCTTTCTTTCCTTTCTATCTTCCTCTAATGAGGGTGATTTTCTCTGGTGATATGATTTAGTTTCTTGCTTTTTATTGTGTGTGTGTTGTGTGGGTGGGTGTGTGTATGCATTGGATGCGTTTTCATTTATAGATTACCATGAGGCTTGCAGATATTGTCTTATAACACATTATTTTAACCTGATAATGACTTAACACTTTTTGCATAAACAAACAAAAAGTAAACTACTAAAAACTTGCCTTAACTTCCCCTCCACTTTTTAACATTTTGTTGTTTCTATTGATATTTTACTGTAATGACTATGTCTTGTAAAGTTGTGTAGTTATTATTTTTTATTGATTCATTATTTATTTTTTCTACTTAGGATAAGAGCAGTTTACATAGCACAGTTACAGTGTTATAATATTCTGAGTTTTTCCTGTGTACTTACTATTGCCATTAAGTTTTGTACCTTAGGTTGATTATTTACTTCTTATGAATGACATTTTCTTTCTGATTGAAGTAATTTCTTTAGCATTTCTTATAGGACAGGTCTGGTATTTATGAAATTCTTCAGCTTTTGTTTGTCTAGGAAAGTCTTTATTTCTCCTTCATGTTTGAAGAATATATTTTACCAGATACACTGTTCTAGGGTAAAAGACTTTTTCCTTCAGCACTTTATATATGTCTTGCCACTCTTTACTGGCCTAGAAGATTTCCACTGAAAAGTCTGCTGCCAGAAATATTGGAGCTCCATTGGATGTTATTTGTTTCTTTTCTCTTGCTGCTTTTAGGTTCCTTCCCTTATCCTTTATCATCTGAAGTGAAATTCTTTTAGGTAGTTCTAGTTTGCTGTCAGACTTACACCTTATATAAGCTAATAAACTTCCTTACGTTTACTTTGGAAGTATTACCATTACTACCTAATTGTAACTGAAACAATAAATCTTTAAAAGTTACGCAGCTAAGAACAGGATGGAAATAGGCTTGCTGAAATAATGTCACACGCCAATATGACAAATTCTACTTTCTATGATATACAGAATTTTTTCCTGAAGTACATACATATTTTAAACTATAACTACTTATATTGATGAATATCTTGTGAAGCTGGGGTGATTATATCAATTTAAGGTTTCATGTATTAATGAATTAACATATATATTAATTGAAATTATATGAATCTTAAGTATTACTGCTCACAGAGCATTTTCTAGATAAGAGATCATAAGTTTTATCCCAATTGTCTGACAGCTATGAATGATTTCCAGGCTAGAGTGACAAAGATAACTCTAATCCACTTTAAGATTAATAAATTCTATTTTATTACATTGCCACCAGAGACTTGCATTCAGTGAAGAACTAATGTAAGATGAAAAGATTTTCTTAACATAAACCTAAGTAGCAGGAAAATTAAAAGAAAGACAGACAAAATTCTACTGTTAGAGGATTTGCAAGCCTCCAAAAAGAACTCTAATTGCATAATATATTGTTTGGTAAAAACTGAAAATATATTCTTGGTAGTTTGGATTAGTCAGGTGTTGGCTTACGTTTGTCCCTGTGCCTCCACTATACTTTTAATTGGAGAGATGGTGATGACTTAGAAGTCTTATCTTTCAATAAGTCCCCAAAAGAGCATTACCTGAGAAACAAACAAACAAACAAAAACTACATTCAGTCACTAAATAACTCAGTCACTGTGGGCCAGTCACGTAACCTCTCTGGACCAGGTTAGTTCACTTGGTCTTTTATTTTTTTAAATTGAGACAAAAGGAATGTGTTGATAAATTATGGCTACATTATGGATTCCAAGAAATGTTGCTAATAATACAGTATGTTCTCAGAACTTTTAAGTTTGGGAAATGCTGGTCATCTTCTTCCAATAATGTTTTGTAGTTAATCAACCTTTCACATAAGAAAATTCTTACACTTACCCTTTATGGTACTAAGGATTGAGATGGATAAAGTGAGAATGCTTTAAAAAGTACCAGTTTGATTCTACCAATAGTCAGACTCATAAAAATTAATTATAAAAATTTAAGTCAGTATTATGTTACCTCAAAGAGGACTACGCCATAAATGTTCTGCAAAATGGTTCAGTTTTTGCAAAATGTTAACATCGTATTTAAATATTGCCATATCTAACCACTCACAAAATGGATAATGGTGGAAAAATGTCTGCTCCAAAGTATTTTATAAGAAATCAATAATATTTTTACTATAAGAAACCCCTTATACTATATAAAGAAAAAAGAAAGTTTAAAATTAACCAACAAAGGGTTATTGTTCAGAACCCATAGACACATGTACTGCAAGGTGGCCAGGACGCTAAAACCAAGACCAAAGAAATCGTGAGTTACATTTGCTTGTTCCGCCTCAGGCTTGCATCTCTGCTTCTCTAAACAAATCAGCTTCATTCTTCATCACAATGAGAACTACAACTTGTACATACCTTTGCTTCTTCCTAAAACTCTTACTTAGACCATCACATTACTTACCTAGACCTATCGTTTAAGTCAAAAACAAAACATCACCTCACAATGAGCCTCTTCATGTCAAAATCAGCTTACATTCATTATTTTAAAAAATGGGGGAGGGGCATAAAAGAGCTCTCCTCACCAAGATTTCAGGGGATATGACTCAAAGAAGAGAACACAATTCGTATCTACCTTCTGTACACAGCAAGCCCATACCTTTAAATCAGACAAATGCAAAACAAAAGAATAACATTTTGAAAAATGTACCTGGAATATCAAGACTAAGTATATATTTGAAAAGATGTTAAATACAGAGTTATTAGGAGTGGAAAAATGAATAACCTATGTTTCTTTGAGAAATTGTTAAATAAATTGTGTTGCATCCATAATTTAAACTACTAAAAACTTTTTAAAAATACTGAATTCAGGCTGGGTGCAGTGGCTCACACCTGTAATCCCAGCACTTTGGGAGGCCAAGGCAGGCAGATCATGAGGTCAGGAGATTGAGACCATCCTGGCTAACATGGTGAAACCGCATCTCTACTAAAAAAAATACAGAAAAAAATTAGCCAGGCTTGGTGGCTGGTGCCTGTAGTCCCAGCTACTTGGGAGGCTGAGGCAGGAGAATGGTGTGAACCCAAGAGGCGGAGCTTGCAGTGAGCAGAGTTCGTGCCACTGCACTCCGGCCTGGGCAACAGAGTGAGACTCTGTCCCAAAAAAAAAAAAAAAAAAATAGTGAATTCAGCTCTCTATATTAACCTAAAGTGAAGTTCATGACATTTTACCATGTAATGTAAAACAATAGGATATTATTTTTCTAAACAGATGAATAAATATATGTTTGGTGCATGCATATGCATAAATATAAACATATTTCAATATATTTATGTATATATGTACTGCATACAATACATATCCATATATAAATATTAATATGTATAAATTCAAATATTTATAAATACGTATTAATATATACAAACATGTAAACCTATGTCTATATACATACATAAAACATATATATGCATATACTTGATTTTGTAACAATATATCTAATTCTCTATAGCAAATTGCTATCAGTTTTAGCTATTTGAAATTAATTTAAATCAATAATAATACTATGTTAAAAAATTAAATGGAATAAAATTTACATATTTATTCTTTCTTATACTTTGGTATAAAGTAAAAAAGTAATCTCTACCTGACTCTTTAATAACCCACTCTTTTTCACCTCAATTCTTTTGCACTTGTTTTCACTTCAGCCTGAAATGCTCTTCCCATAGATGTCATGGGCAAAGGCATACATGGAACACTCACAGAACAGGACTACAGCATAGCAAATATGATATTTCAAAATTATTGCCCTGATTATTAATTAAACTGGCATAATGCATAATTTTCTCCTGTCAAGTTGGCTAAAAAAATTAAAAAGGTAAACAGACGATTAGGTGGTTAAAAAAACTGAACACTGAAAAACACAACAGTGTTGGAACTCTAAGTTGGTTGTTGTATCTACCTGTAAATATTAAAGCAAACTATTCCAGTTCTGTAAATTATCTTCACTGCATTTATTATGTCATAGACAGTGACTTAACAACAAACAAACAAAAACAGGTGCTTTATACATACCTTCTTAAACTATTTCAAGTGTCTTAAAATGAAGATAACGTAGGTGTTTTTTTTTTTTTTCCCCCTGTAATCTTTTCAGTCTCCATGATTCGAACCTTGCTTTGCCCAGTACAACTTGGGGCTACTTCAGCTCCAAACATTTTGGTTATTTTTCAGTTCGGTTTCTTTCCAAATGTTTTTATTTGGAGTGCCATGAAATCCCTAGTCCCTAACATAATGATTGGTACATGGTATGTGCTCAATTTACTATTATAAATAACTACAGAGAAAATAATTTTTAAATGTTAAGATATATTTTAACAAAATATGTATTGCAGTACTATTTATTTTATCTTGTTATACAAACAAGATTGAACTTACATATATATACACTAAACATTTTAGAAAATTATTTATTTGTTAAATGATATAGATACTGACACAGATGTTTATATATGTAATGTGGGTATATATGTATAATTATGTGTGTACATATATATGTGTGTGTATATACATACATATGTACACAATTGCCATGTTTCCATCTGTTACTTTTTTATCTTTAATTATGTGTAATATTTACCTAGATTATTTTCCTTCATATGAAATCAACTTCCTGACTGGTACTCTCTTTCCAGATGGTCCTGTGCTTGGCAGATTTGATGTGCCATGTCACATAAAAAGCTCATGAAACTGAAGTGGCATTGGACCCATATAATGCTTTTTTAATCAGCATACACACAGCACACGACACAAAGCATCTCTGCCAACAAATTAGTACCTAATGTTTCTACCATCCAAGTTTAGTTCGACAATTTAACTCTGTAGTCCTACATAATTTATGCTGCTTCCTGACTCCATGCGGTCCATGTGAATGTATTTTACAAAAACAAAAATAAAAACGAAATCTCACAAAAAGTTCAAAAAGAAACCTCAACAAACACCACACACAGACAAAAAAAAAAAGCTAAACAAAATCCGAGAACCAAAGGAAAATATCACACAATTGGTGTACAGATGAACATCTTAGAGGTCCATTTGTGAAGTAGTATCTTAAACAAAATTAATGTGTTCCTTTAAATAAAAGCAATTAGGAAAAGATATGTGGTGTTTTAAAGGTTGTGAAATGTAGGTAGTACATGTTGGCTGCTTGTTTTAAAAGCTTTAGGGACATTCGTAAGATAGCCACATTTTAGTAACCCATATCTTTTGTGAGATTAAATCTGTCTGCTGGGAATATTCCTGCATGGATAGAATAAAGAGTACTGCAAACTTTGGTGAGGAACAAGCTATCTTTATTAAAGTATTTATCATTTTTACAGCTGGAATTGGTGTTAATATTTCAACAAACAATACCAGTAAGCCTTATCTTCTCTTTGTTGACTTTAGTTAAGCACCATCAGCAGTAGGCTTTTTGGAACAGCTTGGCCCGCCCAAGCAGAATAATTCATCTTAGAAGAATTTAAAAAAAAAATAAGCTCACTTTTAATATGCAGTAGAAGCACGTCAAAGTATGAACACAAACTTAGTCTGGAGGATGTAAGACTTGAAAAATATGATTGACAGTATTCTTTTTCAGCTTTAAAAACAACTGAGGACAGAATATTCAAGCACTGAACAAATTTTAAACAAACATAAAAAGTGAGCTTACAGAGTTTTATTTAAATGACCACGTAGGCTATTACATGAGAAAACCAGAATTTTTATCTTAATATCTTATACAACATAATGTAAGAGGAAAGACAGAAAAAAAAATTCCCAAAGAGAGATCAATACTTTGAATTCAGTAAATGCTGAATGTATCTAATGATTTTAACCTAAATGCTATACGAAGTTATGGACAAACCCAGAGATCAAATGCCATAGTTAAAAAAATCAGAATGAGTATGAGATATGAAGGGTTTAAGTGGACTACTGTATTTGAATTTATCATGTTATAAGAAGCCTATTATGGAGCTAAAAGAGTATTACAATTGTTTGTATGCAGTTACATGGATGACTACAGAGCCGAATGCGTCATTCAAATCAAAATTATGTTAAAAGACAAAGTTTAAAAATCAATGAATATCTCAAAGTTACTTTTTTGGTTCACTACTGAGAGTGGGGCTGGAAGATGGAAGAAAGGCAGAATAGCTTGCTTCATTAAACACCAAAAGTACAGATTATTATCTGTTCTGGCAAATCAAGAAGATACTCTTATATTCCAAAAGAAAGTCTATGTTGGTATTTTCTAAAGAAGAATGCACAGTGAATAAAATTCTGTATTATTAATATAAACAACTTTGTTTACTTTTTATAATCTTTATGCTGATTCAATGATTTGATAATAATTTTTTGCATCTTGGGCATTGCTAATCCTACAAGACGTTCAGAAGAGCAGTGCCCAGAGAGCATCTGTTATACAAGTTGTCCCCCTTTACTTACATAATCTCAGCTCAGTCACAAGTTCTAAGCTACGGATTGGAGTTGAAGGCAGAAGATATATTCTTTTGAAAGAAGTTATGGCTAGATTGTTTAGATAACTTTCACAACCTTTAAATTAAGTTGAAATTGGCATATAAGATGCTTACAGAAAAAAAATCACAAATAATAAGTATACAATTCTAAGTGTCACAAAAATTGAATACACCAATGAAAACCACCGAAGTCAAGAGACAGAATACTACCAAAATTCCAGAAACCCTTTAACTGACCCTTAGTAATAATCCCTCTTGCTCAATTGTAAATCACTATCCTGATTTCTGACAACATAGCTGTTTTTTAACTTCACATGGAAGAAAACATACAACATGCATTATTTGTGTCTGGCTTATTATGTTAGTGAGATCCATTCACTTCTTTTTCCATGAGTAGTAGTGCTTCACTTCAATATTATTATACTACGCTATAATAATTAATAATGATTAATTATTGCAATTAATAAACACATAAATAATTTCCAAGTGTTTTGGGTTAATGTAAATAATGTTGCTACAAATAGTTATACAGTTTTGGATTAAACAGGATACATTTGGTTGGAGTGTCTACCTAGGAATAGAACTGCATGGCCATAGGGAAGGCATCAACTCAATTTCAGGAAATATTGCAAAACAATTTTCCCAAATAGTTATACTAATTTTCTCATTCACAAGTAGTGTATGGGAGTTTCATTGTCCAAAGTCTTAAAGAGTATTGTGCATTTTTTTAAGTAATCGGGGAGAATGTGTAGTTATGTCTCATGATGGTTTTCATTCACATTTCCTTGATGAGGTTTAGCACATTTTAAATATTTATTGGCCACTTGGAAATATTTTAGAATGGTTACCAGTTCGCACATTTTACCCACCTTTTTATAGGATTCTTTGTTTTTTTATTGGTTAGCAAAGATTCTTTCTGAATTCTTTTTTTTTTTGGTAGGGGCCCTCCATTTGTTATGTGTATTGAAATGTCATCACCATGCTATCTTGGCTCCTTATACTTTCAAGGAAATCTATTGATAAAGTTTCTAAATTTAATAGAGTCCAATTTATCATTATTTTCTACATTCTAATGCTTATTGTATCTTGCATCCTAACAAAACTTTCCCAACCTCCAAGAAATAACCATCAGAAATTAATACTGGATTATGACAACAAAAATTTCACTTATTTTTTTGCAGTTCTCAGAAATCACAGGTAAGAAATGAACAGAATCACTTGCCAATTTTAAATTTAGATTTTTTTTGTCAGCTTCTATGTATGAAGAAAAGCATCCATGCTATTTACAGTACCGGCTTAAAATAGCTAATATTATTGAAAGTTTATTCTGATACTTTGGTAAATATATAGTAATCTACAGATATATTGATCAACATATTTTTTTTGGTTTCAGGTATTTAAGAATATAGGTGAATATTATATATGGTTATTGTCAAAGATAAAATACATCTGAGAGGGTAGGAATCATAGTTACAGCAGCTCTTCTTTAGGCAGAGCCAGAAATACAGAACACTGAACAATGAATCTAGGCAGGTAAGACCGCAGGCAGTCTTCCTGATATATCCATTTTTCAGCATAGCATGAAATTAATAGGAAGATTCTCAAGGACTCGTGTATCAGGAGAACATCACACCTGGTTACCAAACCAGACCACAAAAATAGGTGTTAATGAGAGATATTTCAGGAAAGATCTGGTAAACTAAAAATGTAGGATTGGATAAGAATACATGCAAAGTTTTAGGTGAGCTCAAGAACCCCATGGATCAAATCTTTATATTTCTTAAAGAATAAAAAAAAAAAAAAAAAACGGCTTGAAGACTTTTATAGAACCTATTCTGTAAGATTTGAATCTGAAATCCCTTCCAAAAAACAGCTCAAGTGAACACATCAACATGTTCCATTACAGAATTTTCAAAGAGTTTATCTCAAAAATATACCATGAAAAGACACTCAAGTTTGGCATAAGTAAATTCTACTAAACATTTCATAAGTATCCACATACGTTATTCTCAAACTTCCAAAAAAGTGATCACCTTCTAATTCCATATAAATTTATTAATTGAATTTTCCATTTCTGTGAAACACGCCATTGGAATGTTGATAGAGATTGCATTAAATTTATAGATTACTTTGGGTAACATTGCCATCTTAAATATATTGTCTTCCCATCCATCGACACAAGCTACATTTCCATTTATGTATGTCTTCTTTAACGTCTTTCCACAATGTTTTAGGAGTTTTCAGTGCTAAATTCTTTCACTTACTTGGTTAAATTTATTCCTAGATATTTTATTATTTTGAATCCTGTTGTAAATGGCATACGCTTTATTTTTTTTTTTATTTTTGGATTGTTCATTGCTATTTTATAGAAACAAACTGATTTTTGTTTGTTGAGATTTTGTGCCCCACAACTTAGCTAAATTCATTTATTAACTCCAATAATTTTTAAGTTTTTGGTAGATTCTTTAGGATTCTCTATATGTAAGATTTTGTCATTTGTGAATAAGAAGAATTTCACTTTACTTTTTCCTTTTTAATTTGGATGCGTTGTATTTCTTTGGTTTCCCTAAATGTTTGGGCTAGCTATTCTAGTACAATGTTTAATAGAAGTAATAGAAGCCAGTGTCTTCATTTTTTCCCCATCTTAGAGAGAATTCTTTCATTCTTATCCCATGGTATATGATGGAATGAGATTTTTGTAAATAACCTTTATCATGCTGAAGATGTTCTCTTCTATTTCTTGTTTTTTGAATATTTGTTATGAAAGTGTGTGGGATTTATTTCAATTTGTTTTCTGTATCAATTGAGATAATTGTATGGGTTTTCTTTATTCATTCTATTAATGTGACATATTATATTGACTGATTGTTACATGCTAAACCATCATTGCATTTCAGAGATTTTTTCCATTTGTATTCATGAGGGATTTTAGTCTGTAGTTTTTTTATTATGGTAATGTCTTCATCTGAATTTGGGTCATAGGATGAGTCAGTAAATATTCTTTTCTATTTTATACACTGGAAGAATGTGAAAGAATTGGTGTTGTCTTCTTTAAAGAATTTGTAGAAGTCACCAGAGAAGCCATTTTTGCTCTGGTCTTTTCATTTTGGGGTGACTTTTGAATACTGATTATTTCTTTTGTTATAGGTGTGTTCATATTTTCTGATACATTTTCAGTTAGTCTCACTAATTTTATCTAGACATTTGTTCATTTCATTTAGATTATCTTATTTATTGGCTTATAATTGCCTATAATATTATCTTATAATTCTGTTTATTTTTGTACTATGAGTAGTAATGTCCTCACATTTATTTCAGATTTTAGTAATTGAGTTATTTTTTTCTAAGTCAACCTAGATATTTTTAAAATTTTTGATATTTTCAAATAACTAACTTTTGCTTTTGTTGATTATTTTATAAATTTTGAATCTTGTATTTAACTTATTGATACTTTGATATTCATTATTCCTTTTCTTCTGCTATATGTGTGTTTAGTTTGCTCATCTATTTTACATCTTTAAGGTGTAAAATTAGGTTGTGTTTTGAAAACTTTCTTTTAATGTAGATATTTGCAACAATAAATTTCTTTCAAAGCACTGCTTTTGCTTATAGGGTTAGGAATGGCTACTGCTACAGGAACCGGAATAGCCAGTTTAACTACTTCATTATCCTACTACCACACACTCTCAAAGGATTTTTCAGACAGTTTACAAGAAATAACGAAATCTATCCTTAGTTTACAATCCTAAATAGACTCTTTGGCAGCAATGACTCTCCAAAACTGCTGAGGCCTAGACCTCCTCACTGCTGAGAAAGGAGGACTCTGCACCTTCTTAGGGGAAGAGTGTTGTTTTTACACTAACCAGTCAGGGATAGTACCAGATGCCACCCAGAGTTTACAGGGAAAGGCTTCTGAAATCAGACAACGCCTTTCAAACTTTTATACCAACCTCTGGAGTTGGGCAACATGGCTTCTCCCCTTTCTAGGTCCTGTGGCAGCCGTCTTGCTGTTACTCACCTTTGGGCCCTGTATTTTTAACCTTCTTGTCAAATTTGTTTCCTCTAGAATCAAGGCCTTCAAGCTACAGATGGTCTTACGAATGGAACCCCAAATGAGTTCAACTAACAACTTCTACTGAGACCCCTGGACCGACCCACTGGCACTTTCACTGGCCTAGAGAGCTCCCCTCTGCAGGACACTAGGACTGCAGGGCCCCTTCATTGCCCCATCCAGCAGGAAGTAGCTAGAGCAGTCATAGGTCAAATTCCCAACAGCAGTTGGGGTGTCCTGTTTAGAGGGGGGGATTGAGAGGTGACAGCGTGCTGGCAGCCCTTGCAGCCCTTGCTCACTCTCGGCACCTCCTCGGCCGGCCTTGGTGGCCACTCTGGCCGCACTTGAGGAGCCCTTCAGCCCACCACTGCACTGTGGGAGACCCTCTCTGGGCTGGCCGAGGCTGGAGCCTGCTCCCTCTGCTTGCCGGGAGGTGTGGAGGGAGAAGCGCAGGAGGGAACCGGGGCTGCATGTGGTGCTCGTGGGCCAGCATAAGTTCTGCGTGGGTGTGGGCTCAGCAGGCCTCGCACTCAGAGCAGCCAGCTGGCACCACCGGCCCCAGGCAGTGAGGGGTTTAGTACCCAGGCCAGCACCTGCAGAGGGTGTGTTGGGTCCCCCAGCAGCACCGGCCCACTGGCATTGCACTTGAATTCTTGCTGGGCCTCAGCTACCTCCCCATGGGGCAGGGCTTGGGACCTGCACCCCACCATGCCCGAACCTCCCCCATGCCGTGGGCTCCTGCGCGGCCTGAGCCTCCCCAATAAGCACCGCCTCCTGCTCCACAGAGCTTAGTCCCATCAACCACCCAAGGGCTGAGGAATGTGGGCACATGGTGCAGGACTGACAGGCAGCTCCACCTGTGGCCCTGGTGTGGGATCCACTAGGTGAAGCCAGCTGGGCTCCTGAGTCTAGTGGGGACTTGGAGAACTTTTATGTCTAGCTGGAGGATTGTATATGCACCAATCAGCACTCTGTGTCTAGCTCAGGGTTTTTGGATGCACCAATCAGCACTCTGTATCTAGCTAACCTGGTGGGGACTTGGAGAACTTTTATGTCTAGCTAAGGGATTGTAAATACACCAATCAGCACTCTGTGTCTGGCTCAAGGTTTGTAAACACAACAATCAGCACCCTGTGTCTAGCTCAAGGTTTGTAAATGCACCAATCAGTGCTCTGTGTCTAGCTAATCTAGTGGGGACTTGGAGAACTTTTGTGTCTAGCTCAGAGATTGTAAACACACCAATCAGCAACCTGTCAAAATGGACCAATCAGCTCTCTGTAAAACAGACCAATAAGCTCTCTGTAAAATGGACCAATCAGCAGGATGTGGGTGGGGCCAGATAAGGGAATAAAAGCAGGCTGCCCGAGCCAGCAGTGGCAACCCGCTCAGGTCCCCTTCCTCACTGCGGAAGCTTTGTTCTTTCACTCTTTGCAATAAATCTTGCTGCTGCTCACTCTTTGGGTCCACACTGCCTTTATGAGCTGTAACACTCACCACGAAGGTCTGCAGCTTCACTCCTGAGCCAGCAAGACCACAAACCCACTAGGAGGAATGAACAACTCCAGACCTTAAGAGCTGTAACACTCATCATGAAAGTCTGCAGCTTCACTGCTGAGGCCAGCGAGACCATGAACCCACCAGAAGGAAGAAACTCTGGACACATCTGAACATCTGAAGGAACAAACTCCGGACACACCATCTTTAAGAACTGTAACACTCAGTGCAAGGGTCCACAGCTTCATTCTTGAAGTCAGCGAGACCAAGAACCCACCAATTCTGGACACACTATCTTTTCATTGGAGAATTTAATCCATTTATATTTCATGTAATTTCTGATAAGGAAAGATTTCCTTCCATTTAGCTATCTTTTTCTGTGTCTTATCTTTTTTCTGTTTTGTTTCTAAATTTATTTCTTGTTGTCTTCTTATCTGTTTTATTATTTATTTATAGTGTACCATTTTAGTTTATTTTTATTTTCTTTTTCTGTATATCTTTCAGTTAGTTTCTTACTATTTAACCTGGGGACAAAAAATAAAGTAAACTCAACTTGTAACACTGTATTTTGATTAATACCACCTAGCTTCAATAGTGTATAAAAATCTGCTTTTATAAAGCTTTTTCCCTTTCCCCTTATGTTGCTGTCATCACAAATTACATCCTTATACAATGCTTGACCATTAAAATAGATCTATAATTAACATTTTATGTTTGTACCTTAAATCTCACAGGAAAAACAGTTACAAATCAAAAATAAATCAATACTTCTTCTTATATTTACAAGTGTAATTACCTTTAACGGTGCTTTTTATTTTTCAATATAACTTCAAAATCACTCTCTAGTGTCTTTTAATTTCTTCTTGTTGGGCATTTTTAGCATTTCTTATAGGGCCAATTATTATTAATGCTCTCAACCTTTGCATGTGAGAGAATGTCTTAATTTCTCCTTAATTTTTGATGGATAGTTTAACAAATTTTCAGTTGACAGTTTCTTTTTTTCTTTCAGCACTTTTAATATGTCATCCCATTCCTTTCTTGGCTATGACATTCTCATTGATAATAAATCTACTCTTAATCATAATGAGGATCTCTTGTATATGATGAGTTGCTTTTCTCTTGCTGCTTTCAAGTTTTTCTCTATGTCATTAGATTTCAATAGCTTAATTATGATGTGTCTTGGTGTGGAACTCTTGGTTTTTATTCTTAAATTTGGTTGAGTTTCTTGTATGTACAGATTAATGAATTCATCGAATTTGGAGACTTTTTTCATTCTTTCTTCAGATATTCTCTCTGTTCCTTTATCTCATTTCTCACACTCTGAGACTCCCCTTATGCATGTATTGGTGTACTTTATTGTGTCCCACAGGTCTCTTAGGCTTTATTCAGTCTTTTTTTTTCTTCCTGCTCCTCAGCCCGGTTAATCCCAGTGGACCTAAGATTGTTTGTTAATTCTTTACTTTATCTGCTCAAATTTGCTATTGAAATGACCTAGTAATGTTTTCATTGAAGATTTTGTGCTTCAGAGCTCCAAAACTTTTGTTTGGATTATTTCTGTACTTTCTGTCTTTGTTGATATTCTCTATTTGTTGAGACATCATGTTTGGGTTTCTTTTAGCTATCTGACTATCTGACTATATTTAGGCAGTTTGCTTAAAGTCTTTGTATAGTAGTTCCAGCTATGCTTCCTCAGGGATATTCTCTGTTAATTTCACATCATATGTCAATCATATGATGTGTTAGCTAAGGTAATCAGATTCTTACTTATTCTCTTCTGGGATTTTTGTTGTTGTTGCCTTTTGTTGATAATAGTTGTTTGTTTAGTTAATTTTAAACCTTTTCTTAAGACATAATATACCATATTCTACATCGTGTGTGGTCTCTGAAGCCTCCATTTCTTTTAGCATGTAGTAGCTAGGGTTTTGAAAGATTTCCTTGAATGCCATTTTTAGGTTGCCTCTTATTGATTTACTACTTAGGTAGAAGCTATAAGCCTTTGACTATTTCCAAGAGTTCTGACAAAGCTGATACTGACCATTTTTTTCTTCTCTTTAAAAAAAGATTATGTGGAGAGATAGACCCTTGGAGCTGCATAATTTACAAAATTATACTGATGTAAATCTCCTCCAGGATTCTGTTGATCAGTATTAGCATGATACATCTTTCTCCATTCCTACAATTTAAACCATCGATAGTTTCTTTTTTTAAATTTACCGTCCATGGTTTATATTTAAGTGGGTTTCTTTTTTACAATATTTTTTAATTCACTCTTAAAAACTCTGCCTCTTAGTGTACTTAAAACATTCGTATTTAAAGTAGCTATCATATGATTGACAATGAGATACCATCTAACACCAGAAAGAATGGCTATTATTAAAAAGTTATAAAATAATAGATGCTGGTGAGGTTGTGGAGAAAAAGGAATGCTTATACACTGTGGGAGTGTAAATTAGTTCAGTCATTGTGGAAGACAGTGTGGCACATCGTTGGAAACCTAAAGATAGAAATACCATTCAGCCCAGCAATCCCATTACTCGGTATTACCCAAAGGAATAAAAATTATTCTATTATAAAGACACCTGTACATGTATGTTCATTAAGCACTACTCACAATAGCAAAGACATGAAATCAAAATATCTATCGATGATAGATCGGATAAAGAAATGTGGTATATATACACCATGGAATATGATGCAGGTGTAAGAAAGAAAGAGACCATATCCTTTGCAGTGACATGGATGGAGCAGAAGGACATTATCCTTAGCAAATTAACACAGTAAGAGAAACCAAATACCACATGTTCTCGCTTATACGTGGGAGACAAATGATGAGACCACATGGATCTATAGAGGAGAACAACCCACCCTGGGGTCTTTTGGAGGGTGGAGGGTGAGAGGAGGGAATCAGGAAAAACAGCAAATATGTACTAGGCTTGATATCTAGGTAATGAAATAATCTGTATAACAAACTCCCATGACACAAGTTTACCTATGTAACAAACCTGCAGTTGTACCCGCGAGCTTAAAATAAAAGTTTAAAAAATTACTATCAATAAAATTGTTTTAGCAGCCACCAGGTTTGTAACTGTTACCATTCATTTCACTTGCTACTATTTATTTCACTTTGACTTCTATTCTTTTCCCTCTTTTTTTTGTTTTAATGAAGTGTCTTATTCTTTTTTTTTCTTCTCTCTTAAAGTACCATTATAACACTTTTCTTCTTAGTTTTTTAAATTAATTGTTCTAAATTCAGGAAACTTCCACAACAAATGTAACTCCACCCTAAAATAGCACTATATGTGTGTGCGGGTCATGCCTGTACCTTACATCAGATTATTAACAATTTCTTCCTCTTGATCCTTATGTTGCTGTCATTTGTTTTACTTATCTTTTTCTATAATGACCCGATATAAAGTTACTATCATTACTCTGAAAAATAATTTTTAGGTCAATAAAGGATTCTAGTTTACCTTCATTTATTTCTTCTCTGTCACTCATCCTCTTTTTATATAGATCTCAGTTTCTGACATATCATTTTTCTTCTCCTTGAAGAATTTCTTTTAACATTTCTTGGTAGGAAGATTACTGATGAATGATGAATTCCCTCAGTATTTGTTCACTTGACAAGTCTTTTATTTTTCCATTATTTTTAAAAGATAGTTTCTTTGAAAATAGAATTGTTTATAATTATTTAAATCAACACTTTAGATATTTCACTCCTCTCAGTCTTTTCAAAAATAAATTGTGTATGATTTTATGAGATACATATATACAGCAAAATAGTTATTATACTAAAACAAATTAACATATTCATTATCTCATACAGTTAACCATTTTTATTTCCTGTGGCAAAAGCAACTGTAATCTACTTATTTATCCAAATCTTGACTATAATACAATATTATTAACTGTAGTCTTCATATTGTACATTAGATGTTCTTTGTAAATATTCTTAAAAAGTAATTTGTTTGTTTTTATTGAGAAGGAGGTCTCACTCTGTGGCCCAGACTGGTCACAAGCACCTGGCTTCAGATTAGATTTTAGACTTGTTTATCTTAAGAATCTTCTACTTTGTATATTTTGACCTACATCTCTTTAATTCTTCCACCTCAAGCCCATCCCTAGTAACCACTATTTTATTATCTATCTCTATAAATATGACTATTTTTAATATTTCCTATGTAAGCGAGATCACACAGTATTTTTCTTTCTGTATCAGGCTTATTTTACTTACCATATGTCCTCCAGGCTCATCCATGTTGTGCATGTTGTGGAAAATGGCAGAATCTCCTTCATATTTAAGGTGGAATAGAATTCCATTGAATGTGTGAGTATGTGTGTGTGTGTGTGTGTGAGACGTAGGAATATTGCAGATTTTCTTTATACACTTATTCATAGATGGAAACTTAGACTGTTTCTATACATTAGTTTTTGTGAATAAGGTTACAATGGACAAGGCAGTGCATATATTTTCTTGTTTTAATTTTTTAAAATTTTACTTTAAATTTCAGGATACATGTGCAGAATGTGCAGGTTTGTTATGTAGGTATACATGTGCCATGGTGGTTTGCTGTTCCTATCAACCCATCATCTAGGTTTTAATCCCTATGTGCATTAAATATTTGCCCTAATGATCTCTCTCCCCTAGTCCCCAACCCCCCAACAGGCCCCAGTGTATGATGTACCCCTCCCTGTGTCCATGTGTTCTCATTGTTTAACTCCCACTTATGCATGAGAACATGCAGTGTTTGGTTTTCTCTTCCTGTGTAAGTTTGCTGAGAATGATGGCTTGCAGCATCATCCATGTCCCTACAAATGACATGAACTCATTTTTTTTATGGTTGCATTGTGTTCCATGGTCTATATGTGCCACTCTTCTTTATTCAGTCTGTCATTGATGGGCATTTTGTTTTGTTCCAGGTCTTTACTATTGTAAATAGTGCTGCAATAAAGATACACGTGCATGTGTCTTTACAGTAGAATGATTTATAATCCTTTGGGTGTATACCCAGTAATGGGATTGCTATGTCAAATGGTATTTCTGCTTCTAGATCCTTGAGGAATTGCCACACTGTCTTCCACAATGATTGAACTAATTTGCACTCCCACCAACAGTGTAAAATCCTTCCTATTTTTCCACAGCCTCGCCAGAATCTATTGTCTCCTGACTTTTTAATAATCACCATTCTGATTGGCATGAGATGGTATCTCATTGTGGTTTACATTTGCATTTCTCTAATGATCAGTGATGAGCTTTTTTTCATGCTTGTTGTCCAAATAAATATCTTCTTTTGAGAAGTGTCTGTTTATATCCTTTGTCCACTTTTTGATGGGGTTGTGCTTTTTTTTTTTTTTTTTGTAAATGTGTTTAAGTTCCTTGTAGATTCTCGATGTTAGACCTTTGCCAGGTGGATAGATTGCAAAAATGCTCTCTCATTCTGTAGGTTGCCTATTCACTCTGATGCTAGTTTATTTTGCTGTGCAGAAGTTGACAAGATCCCATTTATCAATTTTGGCTTTTGTTGAAATTGTTTTTAGTGTTTTAGTCATAAAGTCTTTGCCTATGCCTATGCACTGAATGGCATTTCCTAAGTTTTCTCCTAGGGTTTTCATGATATGGGGTTTGGCATTTAAGTCTGTAACCCATCTTGAATTAATTTTTGTATAAGGTGTAAGGAAGGGGTCCAGTTTCTACTTTTTATATATGGCTAGCCAATTTTTCCAGCACCACTTATTAAATAGAAAATCCTTTCCCCATTGCTTGTTTTTGTCAGATTTGTTGAAGATCAGATGGTGTAGATATGTGGTGTTATTTCTAAGCCTTCTGTTCTTTTCCATTGGTCTATATATCTGTTTTGGTACTAATGCCATGCTGCTTTGGTTACTGTAGCCTTGTAGTATAGTTTGAGTCAGGTAGCATGATGCCTTCAGCCTTGTTCTTTTTGCTTAGGATTGTCTTGGATATATGGGCTCTTTTTTGGTTCCATACTAAATTTAAAGTAGTTTTTTTTTTCAAATTATTTGAAGAAAGTCAATGGTAGCTTGATGAGAATAGCATTAAATCTATAAATTACTTTGGGCAGTATGGCCATTTTCATAATATTGATTCTTCCTATCCATGAGCATGGAATGTTTTTCCATTTGTTTGTGTCCTCTCTTATTTTCTTGATCAGTGGTTTGTAGTTCTTGAAGAGGTCCTTCACATCCCTTGTAAGTTGTATTCCTAGGTATTTTATTTTCTTTGTAGCAATTATGAGTGGGAATTCATTCATAATTTGGATCTTTACTTCTTTATTGTTGATGTACAGGAAAGCTTGTGATTTTTGCACATTGATTTTGTATCCTGAGACTGCTGAAGTTGCTAATCAGCTTAAGGAGTTTTTGGGCTGAGATGATGGGGTTTTCTTAGTATAGAATCATGTCATCTGCAATCAGAGACAATTTAACTTCATCCCTTCCTGTGTGAATACCCTTTATTTCTTTCTCTTGCCTGATTGGCCTGGTCAGAACTTCCAATACTATGTTGAATAGGAGTGGTGAGAGAGGGCACCCTTGTCTTGTACCAGTTTTCAAAGGGATTGTTTCCAGCTTTTGCCCATTCAGTATGATACTGCCTATGGGTTTGTCGTAAATAGCTTTTATTATTATGCTATTATGAGATATGTTTCATCAATACCTATTTTATTGAGAGTTTTTTGCTTGAAGGTATGTTGAATTTTTTCAAAGACTTTTTTAGGATCTAGTGAGATAGTCATGTGGTTTTTGTCATTGTTTCTGTTCATGTAATGAATTATGTTTATTGATTAGCATATGTCAAACCAGCCTTGCATCCCAGGGATGAAGCCAACTTGTTTGTGGTGGATAAGCTTTTTGATGTGCTGCTGGATTCAGTTTGCCAGTATTTTATTGATGATTTTCAATCAACAGGGATATTGGCCTGAAGTTTTCTTTTTTTGTTGTGTTTCAGCCAGGTTTTGGTATCAGGATGATGTTGGTATCATAAAATGAGTTAGGGAGGAGTCTCTCTTTTTCAGTTCTGTGGAATAGTTTCAAAATGGATGGTACCAGCTCCTCTTTGTACCTCTGGTAGAATTCAGCTGTGAATTCATCTGGTCCTGGGCTGTTTTTTGGTTGGTAGGCTATTAATTACTGATTCAATTTTAGAATTTGTTATTGGTCTGTTCAGGGTTTCAACTTCGTGATCTAGTGTTGGGAGGGTTTATGTGTCCAGAAATTTATCCATTTCTTCCAGATTTTCTAGTTTATTTGTGTAGAGATGTTTATAGTATTCTCTGATGGTAGTTTGTATTTCTGTGGGATCAGGGGTGATAGGCACTCTATCATTTTTTATTGTGTCTATTTGATTCTTCTCTCTTTTCTTCTTTGTTGGTCTAGCTAGTGGTCTAGTTTGTTAATCTTTTCAAAAAACCAGCTCATGAATTAATTTATTTTTTAAGGTTTTTTCATGTTTCTATATCCTTCAATTCTGCTCTTATCTTAGTAATTTGTTGTCCTCTGCTAGATTTTGAATTTGTTTTCTCTTGCTTCTGTCGTTCTTTTAATTGTGATGTTAGGGTGTCCATTTGAGATCTTTCCAGCTTTCAGATGTGGATATTTAGTGCCATAAATTTTCCTCTTAACAGTGCTGTACCTGTGTCCCAGAGATTCTGGTATGTTGTCTCTTTGTTTTTATTGTTTTCAAAGAGCTTCTTGATTTCTGCCTTATTTTTGTTATTTACCCAGGAGTCATTCAGGAGCAGGTTGTTCAATTTCCATGTAGTTGTGCGCTTTTGAGTGAGTTTTTAAATCCTGAATTTTAATTTGATTGCACTGTGGTTTAAGAAACTGTTTGTTATGATTTCCATTTTTTTTTTGCATTTGCTGAGGAATGCTTTACTTCCAATTATGTGGTCAATTTTTGAATAAATGCTAGGTGGCACTGAGAAGAATGTATATTCTGTTGATTTGGGGTGGAGAGTTCTGTAGATGTCTATTAGGTCCTCTTGATCCAGAGCTGAGTTCAAGTCCTGAATATCTTTGTTAATTTTCTGTTTTATTGATCTAATGTTGATAGTGGAGTGTTAAAGACTCCCACTATTATTGTGTGGGCGCTTAAGTCTCTTTGTAGGTCCCTAAAAACTTGTTTTATGAATCTAGGTGCTCCTGCTGGGTGCATATATATTTAGGATAGTTAGCTCTTCTTGTTGCATTGATCCCTTTCCCATTATGTAACGCCCTTCTTTGTCTTTTTTGATCTTTGTTGGTTTACAATCTGTTTTATCAGAGACTAGGATTGCAACCCCTGCTTTTTTTTCCTCCCATTTGCTTGGGAAACACTCTATTCCTTTATTTTGGGCCTATGTGTGTCTTTGCACATGAGATGGGTCTTGACTCTTTTTCCAATTTGCCTGTGTCTTTTAACTGGGGAATTTAGCCCATTTACATTTAAGGTTAACATTGTTATGTGTGAATTTGATCCTGTCATTATGATGCTAGCTGGTTACTTTGCATATTAGTTGATGCAGGTTCTTCATAGTACTGATGGTCTTTCCATTTCAGTGTGTTTTTGCAGTGGCTGGTACTGTTTTTTTGTTTACATATATATTTATAGTGCTTCCCTCAGGAGCTCTTGCAAGGCAGGCCTGGTGGTGACAAAATCCCTCAGCATTTACTTGTCTGGAAAGGATTTTATTTCTCCGTTGCTTATGAAGCTTAGTTTGGCTGCATATGAAATTCTGGGTAAAAATTCTTTTCCTTAAGAATGTTGAATATTGGCCCACACTTTCTTCTGTCTTGTATAGTTTCTGCTGAGATACCTGCTGTTAGTCTGATGGGCTTCCCTTGTAGGTTACCTGCCCTTTCCCTCTGGATGCCCTTAACATTTTTTTCTGCATTTCAACCTTGGAGAATCTGATGATTATGTGTCTTTGGGTTGATCTTCTCATGGAGTATTTTATTGGTGTTCTCTGTATTTCTTGAATTTGAATGTTGGCCTGTCTTGCTAGGTTGGGGAAGTTCTCCTGGATAATATCTTGAAGTGTGCTTTCCAACTTGGTTCCATTCTCCCTGTCACTTTCAGGTACACCAGTCAATGATAGGTTTGGTCTTTTCACATAATCCCATATTTCTAGGAGGCTTTATTCATTCCTTTTCATTTTTCTTCCCCTAATCTTGTCTTCACACCTTATTTCAGCAAGGTGGTCTTCAATCTCTGATATCCTTTCTCCTGCTTGATCTATTTGACCAGTGACACTTGTGTATGCTTCATAAACTTCTCATGCTGTGTGTTTCAGCTCCATCAAGTGATTTATGTTCTTCTCTAAGCTGGTTATTCTAGTTAGCAGTTCATGTAACCTTTTATCAAGGTTCTTAGCTTCCTTGTATTGGGTTAGAACATGTTTCTTTTGCTCCGAGGAGTTTGTTATTACCTGCCTTCTGAAGCCTACTTCCGTCAATTCATCAATTTCATTTTCTGTTCAGTTTTGTGCCCTTGCTGGAAAGGTGTTGCGATCATTTGGAGGAAAAGAGGCATTCTGGCTTTTGAAATTTTCAGCATTTTTGCGCTGTTTTTTCCTCATCTTCATGGATTTATCTACCTTTATTCTCTGAGGCTGATGACCTTTGGATGAGGTTTTTGTGTGGGAGCCTTTTGCTGTTGTTGCTTTCTGTTTGTTAGTTATTTTTCTAACAGTGAGGCCCCTCTTCTGTGGGTCTACTGCAGTTTGCTGGAGGTCCACTCCACACCCTGTTCACCTGGGTGTTATCAGTGGAGGCAGCAAAACAGCAAAGATTGCTTCCTCCTCCTTCCTCTGGAAGATTTATCCCAAAAGGGCACCGCCCTGATGCTAGCCAGAGCTCTCCTGTATGAGGTGTCTGTTGACCCCTGTTCTGAGGTCTCTCCAAGTCAGAGGGCACGGGGGTCAGAGACTAACTTGACAAGGCAGTCTGTCCCTTAGCAGATCTGGTGTACTATGCTGGAACAACCCTCCTTGTCAGGATCAGCTCCTCTCTTCAGAGCCATCAGGCAGGAAAGTTTAATTCCATTAAAGCTGCGCCCACAGTTGCCCCTTCCCCCAGGGCCTCTGTCCCAGGGAGATTGGAATTTTATCCATAAACTCCTGACTGGGGCTGCTGCATTTCCTTCAGAGACGCCCTATCCTGTGAGGAGGAATCTAGAGAACCAGTCTGGCCACAGCCAGTCTGCCATATTGTGGTGAATTCCACGCAGTACAAACCTCCCCATCTCCTTAGCACCATCAAGGGAAAACCACCTACTAAAGCCTCAGTAATGGTGGATGCCCCTCCCCCCACCAAGCTTTATCATCCCAGGTGGACTCCAGACTGCAGTGCTGGAAGTGAGAATTTCAAACCAGTGTTTCTTAGCTTGCTGGGCTCTGTGGGAGTGGAACCTGCTGAGTGAGAACACTTGGCTCCCTGGCTTCAGCCCCCTTTTTAGCAGAGTGGATGGTTCTCCCATCTGGCTGGTGTTCCAGGTGCTGCTGGGGTATGAAAAAAACTATGCAGCTAGTTCATTTCCTGCCCAAACAGCCGCCCAGTTTTGTGCTTGAAACCCAGGGCCCTGGTGGTGTAGGCTCATAAGGGAATCTCCTATTCTGTGGATTGCAAAAATCTGTGGGAAAAGCCTAGTACCTGGGGCAGATAGCACAGTCCCTCACCATTTCCCTTGGCTGGGGGAGGGAGGTCACCCAGCTCCTTTCATTGCCTGGGTGAAGCAACACCACACCTTGCTTCGACACGCCCTCCATGGGTTGCACCCACTACCTAACCAGTCCCAATGAGATGAACTGGGTACCTCAGTTGGAAATGCAGAAATCACCCACCTTCTGCATTGGTCTCGCTGGGAGCTGCAGAACTGTTTCTATTTGGCCATTTTGGCCTCTCCCCAGTGCAAATATCTTTATGAGGTGGTGATTTGATTTGATTTTCTTTGGGTATATACCAAGAAGAAGGATTTATATGTCATAAAGTAATTCTACTTTTTATTTCTTTAGAAATCTCCATATTGTTTTCCATCATGGTGGCACCAATGTGCATTCCCATCTAAAGTACACAAGGGTTCCCTTTCTTCACACTCCCACCAATATTTGTCTTTTTGATGATAGCTATCATCATGGATCTTTGAAACCACCAAAGTCCAAAAAAAAACCAACACACAGAAAAAAACGTTTTGACATTGGCCTTGCAACGATTTATTGGATATAGCATGAAAAGCTCCAGCTACAAAGCAAAAATAAATGAATTAGACTACATCAAACTATGCTTCTGTACAGCACAGAAAACAAGAAAATGAAAAGGCAATATATGGATAGGAAAACAGCTGTGTAAACTATATGCTTAATAAGAGTTAATATCAAAAATGTATAAAGATATACAACTCTATAGAGTAAAACATATAGCTCAATTTTTTAAATGGGGAAGAAACATAAATAGATATTTCTTCAAAGAAGACATTAAAGTGGCCAACAGGTATATGAAAAGATGCTTCACATTATTAGTCATGAGGAAAATGTAAATCAAAACTACTATGAGAAACCATTTGACTCTTGTATTGTTTTTGCATGGTTCCTGATAAGATGGTCAATGTAGTTGTTATACTTGTTCCTCCACAGATTAGATGTTTGTCTTTTTACATGGCTGATTTCCTGATTTTTATTTTATCTTTGGTATTATTTGGTTTGAATATAATATGCTGACATGTGAATTTGTTTATTTTTGTTTATTTTGTTTTGTTTTTTTTAACCTGCTTGGCAATCACTGTGTGTTCCCGAATCTATGGTTTGATGTCTGCCATTAATATATGAAATATTCTCAGAAATTATTACTTCAGATATTTTCTCTCTTTCCTATCTCTTTCTTCTTCTGGTATTCCCATAATACATATGTTGCATCTGAAATTGTTCCATAGGTCTTTGATATTCTCTTTTGTTTTGTTTTATTTTTCTCTTTGCATGTCACTTTATGAAACTTTTATTGATACACATTTAAGCTCACTGATTTTATCCTTTGGCATGTCCAGTCCAGTGATGAGTCCATTAAGGATGTTCTTTATTTGTATTACAGAGTTTTCAATAGATAGAAAATTTTCAATATTTTTTAGATTTTTAAAAATCTCTGTACTTACATTGCCCCTTTGTTACTGCATTTTGGCTTTTTCAACAGAATTCTTAAGATACCATTCATAGTTATGGAAAATTCCCAGTCTGATAATTGCAAACTCTGCCATGTCTGAGTCTGGTTTTGATGCATGCTTTGTCTCTTCAGGCTGTTGTATTTCTTGGCTTTTATTATGCTTTGCATTTTTAAAAAGCTGTATATCATGTATCACCTAATGGGAACTATGGGAAATAGACCTTTGCTGTGATGTTTTATGTTATTCTGAACTAGGAATTGGGCTGTGTTTATTGCTTGCTGTAGCTGCACTAAACACAGCCCAATCAAAGAAGAAAGGCAAGTCTTTGATTTTCTTCTAGGTTTTTGGGTTTGCTTGTTTTTTTGCATGTGCCCTTTTGTCTAGATTTCTCTAAACAATAATTTTTAAAGAGAGTCTGACACTTGCAGTTTTTTAGCTATAATCTATTGTTAATATACTTATGCCCTGCTGATGTTATGTCAAACTGTGAGAGAAAGGAAGTGTTCTATAATGCTATGATTCAGTCTCAGTTTTTTTTATTAAGGATTCATTTTTCAGCTATGACATTCACAAGTATTTATTAGAGAATCCCATTTTGTATGATACAGTAAAGCTAGCAGTATCTAAAGTTTGATTACTTCCCTACCCCCATGTAGGCTAAGATGCTGGTAAACTCTTCTCTTTTATTTAGTAGGCCTTTGTTACATCTTTAAAAAGATTACTTCTTCCAAACTGCTTCAAAGAACATGATTGGTTTTCTGACTCATCATAAGAGAATTTTTCTGATAACCTTGTGGGATTCCTGGATATTAGATCTTTGTTGGATGCATCATTTGAAAATATTTTCTCCCACTCTATATGGTGGCTTTTTAATTTATTAATAGTTTATTTTGCTGCACAGACTCTCCTTAGTTTAATTAGGTCCCATTTGTTAATTTTTGTTTTTGTTGCAATTGCTTTTGAAGACTTGTTCATAAATTCTTTCCCAAGGCCCATGTCCACATGACATTTCTTCATTTTTTTTTCTATGATTCTTATAGTTTGAGGTCTTACAGTTAAATCTTTATTCCATCTTAAGTTACTTTTAGTATATGGGAAAAGGTAAGAGTTCAGTTTCATTCTCCTACATATGGCTAGCCAGTTATCCCAGCTCTATTTATTGAAGAGGCAGTCCTTTCCTTATGGCTTAGATAAGATGTCTGTTAGGTGTGTCACTTTATTTCTGGGACCTCTCTTCTATTCTACTGGTCTAGGTGCCTGTTTTTGTTCCAGTACTGTGCTGTTTTGGTTACTGGAGCATTGTAGTATAGTTTGAAATTGGGTAATGTGATGCTTTAAACTTTGTTATTTTTGTTTAGGATTGCCTTGGCTATTCAGGTTCTCTTTTGTTTCATATGAATTTTTGTTTTTTTTTCTAGTGATGTGAAAAATGACATTGGTAGTTTGAGGGAAATAGTGTTGAATCTGTAGATTGCTTTGGGCAGTATGGTTATTTTAACAATGCCAATCCATGAGCATGGCATATTTTTTTACTTGTTTGTGTCGTCCCTGATTTCTTTCAGCAGTATTTTGTAACCTTGGACCAGAAGGATTCACAACCAAATTCTACCAAATGTGCAAAAAAGATCTGATACTAATTCTATTAAAACTGTTCCCCAAAATCCAAGAGGTAAGACTCCTTTCCAGCTAATCTCATGAAGCCAACATCACCGTGATACCAAAATCTGACAGACACAATTAAAAAAATAAACTACAGACTAATATCTCTGATGAACAAAGATGTGAAAATTCTCAACAAAATGATAGCAAACTGAATCCAGCAGCACATGAAAAATTTAATTCACTATGAACAAGTAGGTTTTATTCCTGGGATTCAGGGTTGGTTCAACATACACAAACAAATAAATATGATTCACCACATAAACAGAATTAAAAACAAAAACCATGTGATCGTCTCAGTAGACACAGAAAAGGCTTTCAATAAAATCCAAATTCCATTTATGATAAAAATCTTCAACAAACTAAGCATTGAATGAATATATCTCAAAATAGAGCCATCTATGACAAACCCACAACCAAAACCATTCTGAATGAAAAAAAGCTGAAAGCATTCCTCTTAAAAACATGAACAAGATAAAGATGCTCAGTTTCACTGCTCCTATTCAATACAATACTAGAAGTCCTAAATAAATCAGTCAAGATAAAAAAAGTAAAAGAGAAATAAAATAAAAAAATATTTTTTTATTAAAAAAACAATTTTTGGCTTTTTGGAATATTTTCTAATTCATTTCCTCTGAATATTTCTTTTCTACCCCCTTTGACATGCTTTTCTCTCATTTTTCAACTTCTCAAGCTTAGAACTGATGTATTAGATTTTTCTATTTTTCTAATATGAATACTAAACATATAAATTTATTATTTAGAACTGCTTTAGCTAAGTCACATAGTTTTTCAGTTCAAAATTTTAATGACTTTCTGAATATTTCTTTGATTTATGTATAATTTAAAAACATTTTAAATATTTTCTAAATATTTAAAATTTTTAGAACTCCATTTTTTATTTTTAGTTCTGTTTTTGTAAGGTAATATGCTCTGTATAATTTTAGTAATTAGAAACTGCTATAATGTGTTATACTCCATCACGTAGTCTATCTTGTTGAATTTATAATACATATATAAAAGTAATGTTATTATCTATTTATTGTACTTTTGCATAATCTGTTAGATAAAGATATTTAATAGTGTTTGTTTTCATATATGCTCTTTCCTTATTTAATTTTGTCCATTTATTTTCATCAATAACTAAGAAAGTAATAGTAAAGTCTTCAACTATTATTGTTAGTTGGTTTATTTTTCCCTTTACTTCTGAAAATTTGCTTCACATATTTTAAAACTTTTATTATGTGCCAACACATTTAGGGTTACTATTTGTTCTTCATGAATTGACTCTTTTATCGTCATTAAATCACAGCAGCATTTTTATGATGAATGCTTACATCTATACATTTCTTTATTATTTTAATGTTTTATATATATCTACATTGTTTTAATGTTAATAAATTTGTGCTTTTATATGCATTGCATCTCTTGGAAACAGTGCCTAATTGGGACATGTTTTAATTAAATACATTTTGACAAATCTCTCTTTTTTTTTTTTTTTGTTACAGATGGGGTCTCACTATATTGCCCAGGGTTGTCTCGAAATTGTGGGCTCAAGCGATGCCCCCATCTTGGCCTCACAAAGTGCTGAGACTACAAGCACAAACCACTGCACCTGGCCGTCTTGGTAATTGAAATATTTAGCCCTTTTATATTTACATAATATTGATATAATTAGGTTTGAATCATCTTTTTCTTCTTTTAAAAAAATGCCTCTATTCTTTATTTGGTTTTTATTTTTAGTTTTTTAAAAAAGTATTACTTTTCAGCATTGTACATTAGTTCTGGTATTGGATTTTTGTGTTCTTCTTTATATTTTGTTTAAATATTTTAATATGTATCCTTAATTTATTAAAGTTTTTGTATTATTATTCTACCACTTCATGCAAAATATGAACTATAACAGTATTATTTTATTTACCATATTTTCATTTTTTAAATATTGTTACTCCTATATATGATTTAAATACCACGTACAATGCAATTGTTTTGTCTTTGAACACTTCAATATATTTCGATAAAATTAGAGAAAGCAAAAGACAGTTTAGTATATCTACCCATTTATAACGATCTTTAATAATTTCTGTAGATCTAAATTTCCAACTGATATATTTTCTCTTCAGCTTGGAGAATTTCGGATATATATATATATTCACACACACAAACACACACACACACACACACATGCATGCATATAGGAATCGAGATCTAACAGTAACAAATACTGTTACAATTTACCTGAAACTATCTTCATTTCATTTTAAAGAATGACTTTGCTGAGTACTGAACCCAAATTTGAGAGTTTTTTTTCTTTCAGCATTTCAAAAGTGGTATTTACTTTTTCTTCTATTTTTTGGATTGAATGACTTCTTTTAAGAAATAAATTGTTATATTTATTCCTACCTTACTGTATGTAATGTATCAGTTTTTCTCCTTTAAATTACTTTAAAATTGTTTAAACTAGATTTATTCCAATAGATTTACTATTATGTGTCAAATCTGATTTTCTATACATCCATTGCACTTTTGGTTTTTTGAACTTCATAAATTGATAGTGTTCTTTAACATCTGAAAATGTCAGGCCACCATTATAAAAAACGGTTTCTTCCTCTTTATTCCTTTTACCTCCTTTTAGACAATTATGTTTATTATAGATATAAAAGATTGTGTGATATTTCATTACTAATACTGTGTTGGGTTATTAAATTTTAACTCCCTTCTATCTCTTTGTGCTGTTTTCTGTTTTGGATAATTTATATTGATCTCTTTTTAAGTTCAGTGATGCTTGCTACTACTATATCCATAACTTTCTTTGTATTTGTAGTTTTTGTCTTTTCTACGTGGTTGTTTGGGATTGCTATCTCTTCATTCTTTCTACTTTATCTCTAGATGTCTGAATACATGTATAATTGTTATTTTAAATATGTCTTTGCCACTTTCAATAAAAAGGTTAGTCTGTGTGTTTGTTTATGCAGATTTTTTTTCTTTACGTAGCTGTCATTTCATTGCTTTCTAAATGTCTTGCTACTTTAAATGTCTAATATTTGGTACTGATATGTCCATTATATTTATCTTTCTATCTGAAATTGAGATATACTATTATATTTTTTGTTTGATTATATCCCCTTCTCCCACACCCCTGAGAATGTGAGCTCTATTGTATTTCCGGTGACTAAATCAAGCAGGCAATTGTTTAGATATCACCCACTATTGAGGTGATTTGGGTCTCAGAAGCTGCTGATGAACTCATCTCTGGTTAATTCAACTCCAGGTCTCCCATGGTATCACTGTTGTCAAAGACTGTTTAGTGATTTCATGTATGTTTGAGCTTGAAGCTTGGAAGGGATTTGGCCACAATGTCACTTGGGATTCAGTGGTTCTAGGCGCCACAGGAAGAAAACAGTGCTCAAGTTCTTCCTGCTTTCTACGTACATGTTTTATATTATTTCCTTAGCAAAGTATAGGAAAGAAAGGAAGGGGGAAATATTATTCTAATACAATTATTTTGATAAATAATTTGCAGTTACAGATATAAAACAACTTATCTTTTTGTACCAGCATTAATAGCTTAGTTTAACTTTTTTTTTTAAACCCAGTAATGTGTCTTAATGTTGGTTTGTCCTTTGATTTTACCTGCCAATAACCAGGTGCATCATTTTCCTCCAGAAGCTACCGCATTTTTAAGGATTCTTCTGTCACAAATCAGTTTATGAAATTTTCTTGTGTTTACTCCTTTGGTTAGCTCCATAAAATTGTATAGTTTGAAAGTAAAATAATAAATATCTCTATACATTAGCTTCTTTCAGGTTTTAGGGGAGAAATTCTCCCATATGTGATGATATAAAAAATTGGATATATTATAAAGGCAAAGCAATAGTTCCACAGGTCAGCAAGTGAGCAGTAGATTCAGTGCCAGTTGCTCTTATGTTCAAATTTTCTGTGTCTTTCCTTTCTTGTTTGTCTTGATATTTCTAATTCTTTAAGAAGGGAGAGTCTAATTTTTTAAATGTTTTTGGAAGACAAACTTAATGTTCATTTAATCTACCAAAATTAAGATAAATTATATTTGAATGATAATATTCAATACTTGTTAGTATATAGTAGTTGATCATTATGGTTAGCATCTACTTCTCTTCAATTTAAAAGCTAAATAATATTGTTACATTATTTAGAGTTGAATGAGAGAAAATAAAATGATCTGAATGTTGGGATATCATATTGTTCTTTAAAATAAAACAGAAAGTCTTATTTGGCTAAACCAAACTGCCAACCATGTCCTGAGAGAGATACGTGGGATACACATTTTAGGGATAATTTATTTCAATGAAGTTGCTTCATCAAACACACTCTATTTGTGTAAGCATATAATAAAGTGAATAAATAAACATGGCATTTGGATGAATGATCTATGTAAAGAATGTATAAAAGCAAATAAACTAAAAAGATAAAATTAAATGTATATATACACATCTTGAGAATGTAAAAAGTAGGTATTTCATGTGTAGGCAAATATGTATTCCCATTCAATCTCCAATTAACTTTTAAGTATTTTCATTTCATTTCACCAAGGTGGAGACTTAGATTCAAATCAGTATAATGAACTACTTTAGCTCTCTTGCAAGTTATCTGATATATCAAAAGAGATTGTATCATGCAAATAAAGTTTTCAGATTCCTTTTATAATGCTTGTGAGATTATTTGTATGATAGTATCACCTTGTATTTCCTGAAAGTAAGCTATTAAATAATTTGGAAATTAAATGCTTACCAGAATAATTTTCATAAATGTAGTCAATCAATATTCTCTCCTTCATGCTTGCCCCTTTCCTTTAATATCAATCTGTAAATTGAACTACAAACATGACTCATCTAAGAATTTATATAATATGCAAATTATACAACTTTACTGATTCTTAAATTATTCATTACAATGAAACTCAATGGCATATGCATGTGTAAGCATTCAGAATGTTGAATGCTAATAAAACTTAAAAAATATCTCAATATCTCATTCAACACCGTTTTAGTAATAAAGAAACTACTAAAAAAGTTATTTGTCTTGGATAAAGGATCCTGGGTGCATATTTGGGTACACAATACCCAGTTTTTTTTTCCTAATTTCAAAGAATAATTAAATCATTTTACTTTATAAAAAAAGTAAAATTAAAATATAAAATTCGAACTTACTTTTAAGAGACAGCCGGGATGATCAGGTATAGTCTCTCCAAGCCGAACAGACTGCTCATATTACTTTGGAATTAATAAAAGTATAAGGGTTGGCCAACTTTTAAAGATGTAAATGGATTGACATCATCTATAAAACTATGGTTACTTGTGTGAGACCTGCTGCTAACTGATTAACACTCAGAAGTATGTGCACTGGAGTGGGTATGTTCCTGATTGGCTGACATTCAGAAATGAGAAGTTGATACTGATTGTTTGGCTTGCAAAGCGTTTTTACTGAGACTAGTTTTAGTTGATCAATTCCATGAAGTTAAAAGCAGTCTGGTGATACTTGTTACCATAGCTACAAAATAATTGTTTTTTTCTTTGAGTGTTAGAACTACGATTTTAAAATTATCAGATCCTTTTTTGCTTTTCAATTAACATAAGCCGCAAGAATAACATCAAGGGTTGTAAAGACTTTCACCAATGTCATGCCTCCTTTACAATAAGGTTTTATGTGCAAGGATCCAACTTTGTGTTTGAGAGTTCATCAGAAATATTACAGTCTATCTGTTATCTTTTAATTTTTTTTTTACAGTCAGGATATGACTCTGTGGTAAACCTTAGAATTCTGATTCATAGACATTGAACTAATGTGAGACAAACAATTATTACTAGAAGGATAATAAGAAAGCACTGGGCAATATTCTTGCAACATGGCAAAAATTTCCCAGGCCTGAATAAGTAAAGAAGTCCCAAAGTCTTCCAAAGTACATCTACATAGACAACTTGCCTTTTCTTTGAGCTTAGATATAAATTGTTACAATATAACTATTGCGTTAATATGGGTATAACATACAGTGTTAATGAACAGTGATGCAAAGCCCCACCTTCCCAGTGTGCCAAAAGAAAATTTAAAGTTAATTCATTATCTGTAACTTATTAGGCTAAAAAACTTATTGTGTTTCCAGGGTTCAGGATGTATAGTGTTTTATGTCAGATAAAATAAGAGACATTTTTTATGCCAGCCAAATTACTCCAAATCATGTTGGTGGTATTAAAATACTTAAAAATCATATTTACATTAGTTAGTATATATACCTGTAGGAAAAGTATTGTTCCTTCATCTGCTTTTTAAAGAGTAAATATTTATTGTGAGTATTTTATAAGCTTGGAGCTGTCTGACCAATATCCCCACTGAAAAATTAGGCTGTGGTAAACATAGAAGAATCTGATTCCTGAGTAGGAAAATAAAACAAAGCCATAGGAGAAGCGATCCATAAAACTTAATGGAACTGTATATTATCTTTGGGGGCTGTAGTAAAAAATGAATTTTAGTACACTAGAAATATAGATATTTTCCAATTATTGAAATAACCTATGGTTTTAAATGTTCACTCATTTTTAGTTTTATTTGATTTGAATTATTACTAAAAAGAACATGGATATACAAATGATATATGAGAAGTATCAGTGGAGAATGGAACAATGCACATGATCATTTTGAATATGATTATAAAAGTTACCTTAGTTATATCAATGCTCTTCTAAATGTCTATTAATAGATATAATTTCTGATATTAGATAAGGCTATTTATTAGAATATCAATGATCAAAATTCAGTTTAGTAGCATTAATTTCAGGTACAACAATTATGTGCATTTTCCCAGGATTTGGCAAGGGATGACATATTTGACAAACTTGCAAATTGGCTGCATTAATAACTGGAAAAACTCAATACCAAATGTATGGTAATTATTTCCTCTAGGAAGTCTTGAAATAAACAAAACTTTATTATTGGCAAATGGAGATGATAGACTAAGTCAACTATATGTAAACTGCAACCAGTAAAGATAAAATGTCCAGCCAAAAGGAAAGCAAACAAGATTTAGATAAATGAAATTGTAACATATATAAAATTTTGTCCTGGCCTTGTTGAGTGGACACTTTCTCTAAGAATTCAAGTAAGCAGTAAAGCTACATGGACCATCTGAAAGGTGTCTATGGAAACTGAGTTTGAGATTTTTAGCTTTCCAGTTATTTCCAATTCTTATTGACTAGATGAATCCTTGAGACATATGAACCCAAGGATTAATTCTTATAATTTAATTGCTGTATTGCTAGTTAAAATTAGCAGACAAGACACCTTGAAACAAGGTTCAAAAGTAGTCTTTCTCTGGCTCTTTTTCTGGTACACTAGATCATCCATTATTAGATCAAACTATGAGCCAATTAGTTAACATGAATAAATCTTTGTCTCACTTTGTGTACTAACACACACACACACACGCACACACACATGATTATTGGTTCTGTTTTTCTGGAGAACCCTGACTAACAGACTTTTGTAGCAAGAGTAGTTTTAGAGAATCAGAATCTTAAGGATGAGTTTTCTGAATTTGTTGTGGGGTTTCTTTTTTATTATTATTATACTTTAAGTTTTATGGTACATGTGCACAACGTGCAGGTTTGTTACATATGTATACATGTGCCATGTTGGTGGGCTGCACCCATTAACTGGTCATTTAACATTAGGTATATCTCCTAATGGTATCCCTCCCCCACCCAACCCCACAACAGGCCCCGGTGTGTGATGTTCCCCTGCCTGTGTCCATGTGTTCTCATTGTTTAATTCCCACCTATGAGTGAGAACATGCGGTGTTTGGTTTTTTGTCCTTGCGATAGTTTGCTGAGAATGATGGTTTCCAGCTTCATCCATGTCCCTACAAAGGACATGAATTCATCATTTTTTAAGGCTGCATAGTATTCCATGGTGTATATGTGCCACATTTTCTTAATCCAGTCTATCATTGTTGGACATTTGGGTTGGTTCCAAGTCTTTGCTATTGTGAACAGTGCCGCAATAAACATACGTGTGCATGTGTCTTTATAGCAGCATGATTTATAATCCTTTGGGTATATACCCAGTAATGGGATGGCTGGGTCAAATGGTATTTCTAGTTCTAGATCCCTGAGGAATTGCCACACTGACTTCCACAGTGGTTGAACTAGTTTACAGTCCCACCAACAGTGTAAAAGTGTTCCTCTTTCTCCACATCTTCTCCAGCACCCATTGTTTCCTGACTTTTTAATGATTGCCATTCTAACTGGTGTGAGATGGTATCTCATTGTGGTTTTGATTTGCATTTCTCTGATGGCCAGTGATGATGAGCATTTTTTCATGTGTCTTTTGGCTGCATAAATGTCTTCTTTTGAGAAGTGTCTGTTCATATCCTTTGCCCACTTTTTGATGGGGTTGTTTGTTTTTTTCCTGTAAATTTGTTTGAGTTCATTGTAGATTCTGGATATTAGCCCTTTGTCAGATGAGTAGATTGCAAAAATTTTCTCCCATTTTATAGGTTGCCTGTTCACTCTGATGGTAGTTTCTTTTGCTGTGCAGAAGCTCTTTAGTTTAATTAGATCCCATTTGTCAATTTTGGCTTTTGTTGCCATTGCTTTTGGTGTTTTAGACATGAAGTCCTTGCCCATGCCTATGTCCTGAATGGTATTGCCTAGTTTTCCTTCTAGGGCTTTTATGGTTTGAGGTCTAACATTTAAGTTTTTAATCCATCTTGAATTAATTTTTGTATAAGGTGTAAGGAAGGGATCCAGTTTCTGAATTAATTTTTGTATAAGGTATAAGGAAGGGATCCAGTTTCAGCTTTCTACATATGGCTAGCCAGTTTTCCCAGCACCATTTATTAAATAGGGAATCCTTTCCCCATTGCTTGTTTTTGTCAGGTTTGTCAAAGATCAGATAGTTGTGGATATGTGGCATTATTTCTGAGGGCTCTGTTCTGTCCCATTGGTCTATATCTCTGTTTTGGTACCAGTAGCATGCTGTTTTGGTTACTGTAGCCTTGTATTATAGTTTGAAGTCAGGTAGCATGATTCCTCCAGCTTTGTTCTTTTGGCTTAGGATTGACTTGGCAAGGCAGGCTCTTTTTTGATTCCATATGAACTTTAAAGTAGTTTTTTCCAATTCCGTGAAGAAAGTCATTGGTAGCTTAATGGGGATGGCATTGAATCTATAAATTACCTTGGGCCATATGGCCATTTTCACAATATTGATTCTTCCCATCCATGAGCATGGAATGTTCTTCCATTTGTTTGTATCCTCTTTTATTTCATTGAGCAGTGGTTTGTAGTTCTCCTTGAAGAGGTCCTTCACATCCCTTGTAAGTTGGATTCCTAGGTATTTTATTCTCTTGGAAGCAATTGTGAATGGAAGTTCACTCATGATTTGGCTCTCTGTTTGTCTGTTACTGGTGTACAAGAATGCTTGTGATTTTTGCATATTGATTTTGTATCCTGAGACTTTGCTGAAGTTGCCTATCAGCCTAAGGAGATTTTGGGCTGAGACGATGGGATTTTCTAGATATGCAATCATGTCATCTGCAAACAGGGACAATTTGACTTCCTCTTTTCCTAATTGAATATCCTTTATTGGTTCTCTAATCTGATTAGATTTAAAGGCACCAATAACTCAATGTTTAGTCGTAAAGAAAGCACTGACAGTCTATGGTGTTATGTGGTAATAGAAATATGCAAAATATCACCATTGGATGCTACTAATCCAATACTTATGAGTCAAGAATTTCCAAGAGCTGTATATCCCCTAAATCAGTGTGCAGTATATTGTACTGCTTCTCCCACAGGCAGGATTTACAGGTCCAGGATTCAGGCAGTGGAGTGGAAGTAGCAGTATTCACTGTTACCTACTGTGATTCCTTAATAAAATATTTGCTTCCTGTCCCTGCTACCTTACTCTCTAGTCTAAAATTCTTACTTTCAAAATGAGTTTCCCCAGAAGACAAAATGATTCCATTGAACTGGAGGTTAGGACTGCCACCTGACCACTACTGGCTCCTTATGGCTCTGAACCATCAGACAAAGAAGGGAGTTGCTGTGCTAACAGGGGTGATTGATCCTGACTACCAAAGGGAAACTGGTCCAGTTCTCCTCAACAAAGGTAAGGAAGAGAATGTTTAGAATACAGGATATTAATTACTGTTTTTCTTATTATTCCCATGCCCTTTGAAGAAAGTTAATGGAAAACTACAACAACCTAGTTCAAGCAATAATACTAATGGCCCATATCCTTCAAGAATGAAGATTTGGGTTACCTCTACAGGTAAGGAACCATGACTAAGTGGGGGGCTTCTTAAGGGTAAAGGAAATACAGAGTGGGGAGTGAAAGAAGGTCAGTATAAATGTCAGCTATGAGCACACGACAAATTACAGAACTAAGGGCTGTTATGAGTATTTCTTTTTTATTTTGTTTGAATATGCCTGCATGTCAAATTTGTTTATTTTCTGCCCCTTCTTACTCTCAACATATAACACAAAATGTATCGATTTTATATCATGGTATTTAAGTATTGGGAACTTAGAATTATAGTATATATGTTACAAGATATCAAGAAGAGTCGACATCCCCCGAGATCTCTGTGTCTTCTTCTGGGGAAAGGGTTAGTGTATTTTCAAATAAATATATCATATTATCATGTTAGATGGAAGTATGAACTTGTTGTTATCTTTTTTCTTTTTTGAAGATTAAGTATGGTTTAAAGATATGTGTATGGGTGCCAGATGGGGAAGGGTTGAATTTGTGCTACTTTAATTTATGAGTCAACTAGGCTAGGCTGTGGTACACAGATGTTTGGTCAAGCTCCAGGATGGATTTTGCTGTGAGGGTATTTTGGTAGATGTGATTTGCATTTAAATCACTAGACTTTGAGTAGAGAAAATCAACCTTTACAAGATGGGTGGGTTTCATCCAATCAGTTGAATGCCTTAATAAAAAAAAAAATGAGGAAATTCTCAAGGAAGAAGAAATATTTCTTCCAGATGGTCTTTATAGAGTCTAGACTGCAACATCAACTCTCCCCTTAGTCTCAGTGTGCCAGCTTGAAGTGTATCGTGTAATCATCTGTTTCAACTTATTAAAATAAATCTCTCTCTTCAGTCAACGCACACACACACATGCACACACACACAATTGATTTCCACCAAATGTCTAAGAAATAAAATTTTGTTTCTTTTTTCTCATAAATGGATTATGAGTGAGTGACATTTCCACTATTATTTTCTTAATCTAATGTGCCAATTGAGCAACTGAGTTATAGGATATAAGCTATCATATTTATTTTCACATATACATTTTTGTTATTCATGATCAATTTTACACAATCTATAAATAAAATTTAAAACTAAAGTAAAACAAATAAACTATGTAGAATTTCAGTCTATGCAGTGTGTTTTTACTTTAAACGATACAATTTACCTGGTTCCCTAATTTTTTTTCTAGAAAGTTTAAACTATGGAATAAACATGATAGTAATTAATTAGGTAGGAGAAAAAAAGAAGAGTGAAGTTTGAAGAGATGAAAGAAGAAAAAAAGAAAGAAAGAAAAGAAGAAGCTGCGTATAAGACGAGGAAGCAGAAAGGTCAAGTTATTAGTAGTTAAGTAGTAAAATAAAAAATACAAAATTAAAAACCATGCATACTCCATAACACTGTACCTGTTCTTAGGTTTTTAATTTCCTTACCCTGTACCTTTGGATTTGTGATACTCTGAGTCAATATTGCAGAATTATTTTGCAACTCTTCTATTGTCAGTGCTCATTTTCACAATACCTGGCATAAAGATAGATTTAAAACAGGCACTGGTCATTGCAATGCTGTCATAAGACGTTATCCAATGTTAAAGAGGTAACATTATAAAATCTGCAATACTTAAAATAATTCTGTTTGGATTACTTTCCCATTCCAACAAACTACACACACACACACACACACACACACACACACGCTCACACACACATACATACACCACTTCTTTTATGTAAACCCTAGTCTTCTTGAATTTGGTAGCTTAGAGTACCCTAAACTATTTAAGATTAGAGTGTATAGTCAGCTGAGCTTTGTGTCCTCTGCCATCAACATCACTATTCGTAAGAAAATTTTCCATTGTGTTATGATGCATGAGAAAAATCAGCTTCTCAATCTTCTTTCTCCCGTATGTTCCCAGAAGTGTCCTTCCCAAACTGATAGTTTCAAGAATGTCATAGAAAATATAGTGGGGAAAATGGTGAATAAGTACAATGATGCTCAAGCAAATGCATGTGACAGACTTGATGCTATTTTATACTTCATGGTCTATAAATGCAATATTTTTCTTGAAAATGATGGTGCTGGCTTATAAAGGGAAGAAGAAGAGGGAATAAGAGATTATATAGTGTAATGTTTATTGAGTACTTTATACCTTAGACAGGATGCTAACCACCTTATATATATCATTTTCTTTAATATTTGAATGAGGTCAAAACAATCATAATCTGAAATTTATAATTAAGAAGCTGAAAACTAGAGTAATAACTTATTCAATACCATATAAAAGATGTGGTATCTATTTTTGCTCATTAATTCAGATATTAGTCTTTCAAATATATATGTTAATACGAAAGCGAAATTCTTGGAAAAGTATCCTGGTAATATGCTGGTGTTCTATGTTTCTATATCTTTGAAGAAATTGATTGAAGCTCCTTTTACTATAGTAGGGAAATTTTGCTCAAATAATTGGTTTACTAGAATTTACTAAATATGAAAAAAATTGAGCTGAGATAATCTCATTTTACATTTCATCAAATAATTAATGATATTCATTAATCATTTATCAGAGAAAGAGACAAAAAGCATTGGCAAAGCATAGCTTCCTTAGTGACAGATATTATTTGAACTTCTTAAGGGTTCAGAAAATATTTATAATACCATGTTCGGGGAGCGTCCAGATAGAATTGCTCTCCCTATCACTGGAAAGATGGTCACATCCAAACCCAAACACACATTCTGCCAGTTTCAAATCTCAATAAAAAGAGACCATCTTTCTGAGAAGTACAGCAGTAAAGTTATACAGAAGACTCTGCTGGCTTAGCTTGGGTCATATGCCCTTTTCTGAGCCAATTATTTTTAGCTAGGAAGATAAAGTAAATGGAATAGCCTGTTGTTCCGGCCTATATATTTATTGCTGTCATAAGGCACCATGTTTATAATAACACAATTTCAAATCTCCCCAAATGAGTTTTCAAAATGAAAAGGAGTTCTATTATGAGAAGAAAGAAAGACAGCTACTGGATAGACAAAAAAACCAACAGATATCTGTAACCCTAGATTCCATGCATGAGGCAGACTCATTCACCAACATAGGCTTTCCTATTTTAGGGCTCACTTTCGCTCAGATTTAGTCCTCTACTCCATCATCTTCTTCCTCATCTGATTGGGTATCTACATCTGTGGTGCATAGAGCTATAAGTTTATGATGTTCTTCCTTGGCAGATAAATTGATTTTGGCTTGTTGTGTATGGTGGGCAGAGGGTAACTGTGGTGATGGCAAAATGCCAAAGAGTGTTACTTATTATTTGTATAGTGTATTACAACTTACAAAGCAAGACAAGTCACCAAATCTAATCAGATGATACGTTGGACACAAAGCATTCATTTATTTGGAAACAATAAGAGATATCATAATGAGTTATTTTACTTATAATTACAAGCAAACTTTTTAAATATAGTTTTTCGCTTAGACACTAAATGTCATAATATGCCAGTTTCTATTACCTGTTCCAATATTTCTTCCTCCTCCTTCCAAGCAGGATATGTGGAAAGGTCAAAGATATCAGATTATCAGCATTACTCCAGACCAATTTAATTCCTTTCTCAGCCAAGTGAAGTTAGGAGTTGATGTTTAAATCCTACTTCCATTTACAATTCTTCAACCATAAGAGCCAAACAGAATTACATCAAGTAAACAATAGGTTTAGCTATAGTAGCTTTTGGAATGCTTAATTTGTTAATAATAATATTTACATTGGAAAAATAAAACCGAAATAGTCTCTCTGTATATTAAAACTTATTTCGAGTGACTGTTGCATACTGGAAATAGAGGAGATAAAAAATGTATTTGCTTAATGAATCACAGAATGCTAATTTAGATAATTAAAAACTAATATCTTTCTACTTTTCCTAATGTATGCCAAACTAAATCTTTTACAACTAAATTATTTCAACTTGAAAGCATTTATTATATAAGGAAAATAGTTCTAAAATATTTTATTTATTTTTCCTTTCCAATATTATACTAATTATTTTAAGTTCAAGTGTAAGAGAAATAATACATTTTAAGTATATACATTGTTTTGGTGAATATATTCCATAAAGGAATACAACTGGGCTTGATTATGGAGGACTGTCCAGGACAGATTACTGTCCAAACATCACTTCACAAAAAGCAGAGATACTCAGGAGGACAATAACTCCGACTGCTGTTTCGTTTCTATTTTTTTTTTTTTTTTTTTTTTTTTTTTTGAGACTGAGTCTTGCTCTGTCGCCCAGGCTGGAGTGCAGTAGCGCTGTCTCGGCTTACGGCAAGCTCCGCCTCCCGGGTTCACGCCATTCTCCCGCCTCAGCCTCCCAAGAGCTGGGACTACAGGCGCCGGCCACCACGCCCGGCTAATATTTTGTATTTTTAGTAGAGATGGGGTTTCACCATGTTAGCCAGGATGGTCTTGATCTCCTGACCTCGTGATCCGCCAGCCTCGGCCTCCCAAAGTGCTAGGATTACAGGCGTGAGCCACCGCGCCTGGCCCCGGCTGCTGTTTCTTGTGTGTTTTCTCCCTAGTTCCAGGAGCAAGAAAAAACTGACCTCTTATTTTAGTCCCAAGGCAATTTCAGAATGAGTTTCATCCAGGGTAACTCAGGATTTTTCTCAGATGGGGCTTGTAGAACATGACAGAAAGCTCCAATTAACCTAAGATCCTAAAGGCTACAAATTCAAGGAAAACAATTTTTTTCCCAATTTAAGCATAAATCTCGCTCAAAATGGGACTGAGTCAGTCTCCTAAGGCATTCATAATGCTTGTGCTTTCTCTGAGAAATACATAGATTTAAATTAAACGTACTTCAGAAATTGACAAGAAATCACTTGTGATGATTGGAGAAAAAATGAACACATCACCCACTACAGTATCTTTTAATTTCGATATTAAACATTGATATAGTGTGTTATAGTATTGATGATAACTTTATGTTATTTGGATAGATTATCAATGAACAAGTTACACTTCTAAGTAATCACCTGCTGGATTAGTGTTATGTGAAAACACCGCAATAACATTTTGTATTAAAATATGTCATCAAAGTTCAGTTTTTGTTAAGAATATGTTTACAAAATAAATTTCATCACTTTACATACATACACATTTTATATTAAATGTCTAGAAACTTCATCTTATGGGAAAGAAACTAATATCTTAGGTATTGCCACTTTAGATATCTCTGCCCAATTCACTTCTTGACTTCAGCATATTCCACAGTAGACAAGGTAGCTCTTGACCGAATCTGCTTCCATTTTATTTACCTCAATTTTTTATTATCATTTTCATTCTGCTTAAATATCTTTAGCATTTCTTCAGGGACTCCAAATTGAATACATCTGTCAAAATTCAAGATCCCCATTAATCTCTCAGTACTACTCCATAATTATTTTAAAGCATTCAAATGGTCACAGACAGATATAGGAGTAGAAAGTTCCTCCTTAGAAAGAGATTGACATACTGTTGGACAGAATAATAGTGACTTTAAAATGTAATTTAAAAAAATTGTGAGTGTGGGCTGCAATGCTTATGGGTATTTTTAATTTGTCTCATGAAGCTGCATATGTCCTATTTATATGGCTTATGAATGGTATAACTCCACTTGTTATTAAACAGACATAGGGGTTAGGATTATATTTATCCAAGAGACCCAGGAATTATACTCGAAAACTGGAATGGCACAACCAACCCTAAGTACTGAGGTTGCTTCCAATGGATGGGCAGATAGATTAGATAGATGGATGGATAGATAGATAATTTTTAAAATACTTAACAGAGCATTGTTGAACCAAGCTGTGCTTTGAATCCAAACGCAGAACTTCAATATAGAGCTATTGTTTTGACTGTATAGACCTTGACTGCATAGACTACCTGGCACAGATTTTTTTAACAAGTTTGGAGGTATTCTAACTTCCAAAGATGAACCAAGTAAATATCTGCTACTTTTTCCAAAAACGCTCCTAATATGAAAGCTCATTATTGCAATGGTATAAAATGCCAAGTCCTCTAGCCCCAAGCAAATGGAGATGAAAAGGTAATATGCAAATATAAGTGTTTCATAAAATTTTTATTATTAAGCTAACCTTGGCCTGACTTTTGGTATCTGTTTCTATTAAGATTTTTTTCTATAAAATATTTTACTAATAGGATCTTAATATAAACAGTTTTACTCTTTCTTAAATACAAGAAATTTGGAAAAGTTCAAAACCAGGATTGGATATTTTATTTTATTCTATCCTCAAATTCCAAAGGTCTTCCTCTTTATTCAACATTTTAGTCATATCTACCCCAATGATAGTTGCAGTGTGAAGCATTACATCCTCATAGAATAGGGCACCAAGCAGGGAAAAAAGTTGATGAGTCCAAAGAACAAACATCTTTTTGTGCTTTTTTTTTATTAGTGACAAAAAAAGTTCCTATATCCTATACTTTGCTTAGCCCAGCAGACTGTTTTATACATTTCATTGATCAGATGTGGGTCATATACTTGTCACATACTGGAACAGAAGAAGAAGGTTCCTTCCCCTGGCTGGATTGGATAAATTATCATTCTACTTTTGGGACTGGGCACTGTTATTACTGTTCCATCCCTCCCCCTTTAAACATCAATCATGAATTTGCTAATAGGAATAAAAAGACTCACACACAAAGTCTATCAAAAGAATATTGTCATGGAGATGCTGATTTTTAAAAAAAAGGTATTGAGCAGATACAAACAGATGGAGCTTATGGTCTTCTGACTCCCCCAGCCATATAGAAGCAAAGGAGAGCACAAAAATGAAATGTATAATAACTAAGGAAACTATAAATTTTGAAACAGACACATGTAGACAGAGTGGTCTATACACTATTTTTACACTAGGTTCTAACTCATTCTTAGTTCTGTATCGAAAAGAAAGGAAACCCTTGGAATTTTCTTAGGATTTGACAAATGGTACCATACAAAGGTGAAGCAAAAATATCTTTTACATCACTTCTACTGTAGTTAATAATGGAACACAGGACAGGAAGGTACTATAGAGTAAAAAACTTTTAAAAAATTAGAAATAGTTTGCCCTTCAGTAGCCAAAATCTTTTCCAGCATTGTAGTGCAGAAAAATAAATGCCTCAAAGATATTAATATGCAGCTGTAGCACATACATATCCACTGAAATAGGAAATAATTTAGCTTCATTAAACAACTGCCTGTAAAAAGAGATGAAAATTGAACTAAAACAATATTCTTTAGAAATGATTTATTTTCACAAAATGCTAAAAGTCATATCTACCCCAGCTACAAGTATTCTTTGGGATAGTAGGAAGAAAGTTGTTTGGAGTTCAAAGGAAGTAAAATTGTCACGCAAACTCAAAATGCGTTTGAATGGAAGATACATATTTACACACAAACCCATATGCATGCATACATACACACACATAGGGGACACCATCCTGGCTCTTTCCTCTTTCCTGTTCCTTGCCCACAACGGATTTTGTGACCTCTTGGAAATCAGAAATATATGTTTCTCTTAATGTTGGCATCATAATATTTTATTCTTTAGCCAAAATAGTTGATGTACTTACTGAATTGAGAATTGAGGAGAATTCACTAATTTGTTTGGTTGCTAATATTCACCCACTGAATGAACCAACGTCAGGAAAGCTAGAGAAATCTCAGCTTTCTCCAGAGTTAAGAGCATAGCCCCAGATGCCAATTAAAGAGAATCTATCTCTGCCTAGCAGAGATAATACTGTAGACTGATAATGAATTATATTTAAGGTATGAGGGGCTTGGAAACCATCAATGTGCAGGAAGTTGTATAATTCAAGCTTTAGAAAAATGACCATGGATTAACATGCATGTCTATGGCTTCAGCAACATCAGTAACATCAGATTGCATTATCTGAACCCTAATGGGAGGAACCACTCTTGCAGCTGAGAGAAGGGGTTGATATTTCTGATCAAGTAAATAGTTGTTTATTTATTTCAGTTATTTTAGGCATGCAATGAGGTTGCCATGAATTAGAGTGGATAAAATACCAGTTCTCTCTGTGAAACAGTGATTCAGTAGACATAGAACTCAAAGGCATGAGAATTCTAAGATATGAGAAACCTGGAATCATTTCAGTAGTTATAACCCAATAACCAGCTTTGAGAGCAACATTACTATCAGAAAATGAATAGATGGTCCCCATTTTGGATTGTTGGCAGCTCTGAGCAAGACAGTAGGTATTGCAACTGTTTCAGTCAGATTCATTAGCCAGGTCAGCAGAAAAATAACAGAGCATGGATATTGGGCAGGATCCTGAGGAACCTCAGCATATGCACACCTGGGGCACTGAGCTGAAGAATCTATGAAATGCTTGGTGAGCAATGTAAGGAGTTAATAACTTCTGAAAAGTAGGACAGTGGGTGTTCATATAGAAATAATCTGTCCCTGTATTTTGTAGTAATAAGCAATTTAGGTCAAAGATATATAAACTAAATTGCAACCTCTCATATATGATGACTTTTAGCCCCCTTATCTATTTAATTTTTCCCCCTCAAAATTAATTGATACAAAATATGATACACATTTTATTAATTGATGTAATTTTTTGTCTACCTCCCCTATTAGCATATAAATTGCTTGAAGGCTAGGACTTTTCTTTGATTTATTCATTTCTCTGTTTTATTCTTCTATAACAGACTAAGTAATCAACAGCATTAAGCTAGAAATTAATAGAACTATACCCGTAGAATTTCCAAATATTGGAAAATTTAAAAAAAAACTTCTAAATAACTCATGTACAAGAAGAAATCATAAGAGAAATTACAAAATATTTCAAGTTGAATAATGATGAAAACACAGCACATTAAAATCTGTAACATGTAGCCAAAGTAGTCTTAGAGGAAAAGATGTGGATATGGATTGAATTTGTTATATTATAAATACATAAAGTTTTAAAATCATTGACTTAGGATTACATCCTAAGAAGTAAGTAAGGCTTCTGAAAGGGTAACATCAGCAAAATGGCATAATAGACTTTCCAGCATTTTTCCCCTGGCAGAAACATCAACTTGAACAACTATCCACACATGAAAATGCCTTCATAATATCTCAGAAATTCAGGTAATGGATTACAGTATGTGAGTATAGCACAGAAAAAAGGAAAAGACAGATTAAGGAAAGTATGAGGGAAAATTTCACATTACCCTTGTCACTCCCTCTGCAAAGTCAGAGCACCACAGCACAGAGATATTCTCCATCTGGAGGAAAGACAGTGAAGTGAGCACCTCTTTTTTGCCACAGACCCCTGGACCAGACATGCCTTAGTGAAACCCAGTGCAAGGTTATTCCTCGACAGCCCCAGTTTTCAGGCCCACCATAGAATTAGCCTGGCCCTAGGCCACAGGTTCAGTCTCTGCAGATTCGGGTCAAGGCCCACCATGGCTCCAGTTCAGCCCTAGCACCTGCCTGGCATCTGAAGCTCCAAATTCAAGGCCAGTACCAGTGGACCTTGCCTCCTGGCCATCCCAAGCACTAGGCTGTCACACAGAGACTGAGCTCCAAGGAAGCTGCTGCAGCTCCAGTCTCCAGGCAAGTACCCATGGTCCCAGGTTTTGAGATCCACCCCAGATGCAGGCTAGTTCCTTAAGCCCTAGGCTAATGACCAAAATTTGAGGCTCCACACTGGCTCCCACAGTCACAGACTTCAGGTCAGCACAAGAAGACCCATATTCCAGATCCACCCCATCACCAGGCCAGCTCTCACAGCTCCAGACTCCAGTACAGGACCCATAGACCGCATATTTAGGCTGCTATCCATGAATCCAGGTTCCAGGCAGGTAGCTCCAGCCCCTGACTCCAGGACAAGCCTGCAGATTCAAGATCCATACTACTACCTGTGGTCATAGGCTTCAGGCTTGCTCCAGTGCCAGCCAATCCCCCTTCAACCCCAGACTATTGTATGGTATTCACAGACTTCAGCTCCAGTCTGGCTGCCAATGACCTAAATAACCACTCAGCATATGTGTACCAAACATCAGGGCTGGGCCCCACAGATACAGGCACCAGACCAGCCTAGTACCAGATTGGCCCCTGTGAGTCTACGATCTAGCAGACACAGGGTCTAGGCCCTCTCTAGCAGACCCGGTGTCAAGGCCTGCCCCCGCTGACACCAGACCAATCTCCATGGACCTAGGTTCCAGGATCACCGCTACATATTAGGCTGGCTTGTCCTTGCAGTTGGGACCCAGGTTCACCCCAGCAGAACCAGCCTTCAGGTCTACTCAAAAACAGGCCAGCCTTGGTTTCCCCAGGCTCCAGGCCAGCCCCCTAGAGACCTAGCCTGCAGACCAGTACCTACAGATACATCCTCAGGTCAGCCCTTGTGGACCCATACCTCAGGCTTGCCCCCACAGCTCCAGGTAACAGGTCAGCTCCCCACTCCCAAATTCTAGACAAGCGCCCACAGACCCAGGCTCCAGGCTAACCCCAACATCAGGCCTTCTCTGGGCTCCAGGTTATTTCCCATAGCTCTAGTCCCAGAGGACCCAGGGTTCCAGGCCCACTCTAGCAAACTCAAGGTCTGGGGCCCCTAGTAGTCCCCATAACTAGGCTGCTTCCCACAGACCCAGGCTCCATGCCAGCTACTGTGAACTCAGGACCCAAGCTTCAGGACCTCCACAGGGGACCCAGTTTCCAGGCCCAACCTCACATTTCCAAGCCCCAGGCTGGCCTCTATGAACTCAGGCTACAGGCCTGCCCAACTGCTTACCAAGGCATCAAGCCAGTCTGCCTGAGAACTCTAGTGGCAAGTCTGCCTATGAACCTCACCAGATAATCTACCCAGAATGTGTGGACAGGTTGACTTTTGGAAGGTTTTACCTGACACATCCAGTCTGTAGAGGCTAGAGTGAATGTCTGTTTCTTCTAATGTGCAGACATGAATGCATGGGCACAAGGATTACAAATAATCAGGAAAACATGAAACCACCAAAGAACAAAAGAAGGCACAAGTGAGCAACCCTAAAGGAATGGAGATTTACAAATTGCCTGATAAAGAATTCAAAATAATCATCTTAAAGAAGCCCTGTGAGCAACAAGAGATGACTAATAGATAACTAAATGAAATCAAGAAAACAATATATTAGCAAAACGAGAAGGTAAAGAAAAAGGAACTATAAAATAAAACCAAACAAAAAATTTTAAGCTAAAGAACAGGATGACTGAACTGAAAACTTCCATAGAGAGCTTCAAAAGCTGATTTGACTAAATATAAAGAGATTTTCACTGAGACTCTGAAATAGTTTGGATGAGTGTATCTCCAAATCTGATGTTGAAATGTTATCCACAATGTTAGTAGGGCCTGGTTGGAGGTGTTTGGGTCACGAGGGCAGATCCCTCATGAATGGCATGGTGCTCTCCTCATGATAGTGAGTGAGTCATCATGCAATCTGGTTGTTTCAAAGTGTGTGGCATCTATCTTTTTCTTCATACCACTCTGCCATGTGATGGGCTGGCTCCCCCTTTGCCTTCAACCATGACTGAAAACTTTCTGAGGTCTCTCTAGAAGCCAAGTGGATATTGGCACAATGTTTCCTGTACAGCCTGCAGAACTGTGAGCCAATTAAACCTCTTTTCTTTATAAATTGCCCAATCTCAACTATTTCTTTATGGAAATGCAATAATGGGCTAATACAGACACATTATAATAAAAATTACATAATTCAAGGACAAAGAGGATTTTGAAAGCAGCAAGAGAAAAGCAAAACATTACACACAAGAAACTATTCATAGAATATCAGTGGACTTTTCATCAGAAACCTGCAGGGCAGGGAAGAGTGGAATAATATATTCAAAGTACTGAAAAAGAAACCTGTCAAGTAAGAATATAACTGTCAGGAGTATATTGCAGAAATGAAGGAGAGATAAGGACTTTTCCAGACAAACAAAAGCTGTGGGAGTTTATCACCACTACATCTGTCTTAGAATAAACTCTAAAGGGAGTTATTGATGTTGAAATAAGAGGTCACTAAAAAGCAAAATGAAAACATATGAAAGTATGAAACTGTAAAGGTAAGAATACAGATAGTGCATGACTTAGGATATGGTTACATCTATATAAACTCATTGTAAGTAGAAAAGCACTTGTAATATTCTAATATTGTAAGGGTGGTGCATTAATCACTTTCAACTCTAGCATGAAAGTTAAAAGACAAAATACTTTAGTATAAAAGTTAAAGGGCAAAGATAAAAATAATTATAACTATAGTAACAATAGATACATGATTTAAAAATATGTAAAATATGATATCAATATTTTTAAATCTGGGGCAAAAATAAGTTAAAGTGTGGAGTTTCTGCATATAGTGAAAGTTAAATGTAAGCAGCTTAAAATAGATTGTTATAACTGTAAAATATTTTATAAACGCCTCATGGCAACCACAAATAAAAAAATACTGTAGTAGATATGCAAAAGATAAAAAGAAATTTTGATTCCCTTCTTTTGCATTGTCACAAAAAATTATAAAATGAAAAAGGAAGAATGAAACAAAGTGATTACATTAACAGTCAGAAAAGAATTAACAAAATGGCAGTAGTGAGTCCTTACCTACCAATAGTTGCTTTATATGTGAATAAATTAAATTATCCAATCAATTAAAAGATGTAGAGTGAATTAACAGATAAAAAACAAGATCCACCTATATAATATTTAGAAGACACTGACTTTTTAGCTTTAAGGACACAGGCTGTCAGTGAAGGGATGGCAAAAGTTATTCCATTAAAATGGTAAAAAAAAAAAATAGAGTTGGGGTGGCTATACTTAAACAAAATATACTACAAGTAAGAAGCTGTCAACAGACACAAAGAAAGCCATTAAATAATGATAAATAAGTCAATATATCAAGAGGAAAAAGGTGTGTTGTTTGGCATGGTGGCACATGCCTGTAGTCCCAGCTACTGGGAAGGCTGAGGCAGGAGGATGGCTTGAACCCAGAGGTTCAAGTCCAACCCTGGAAACAGAGTAAAACCTCATTTCTAAAACTAACCAAATGAAACTTGTATAAAAAAAAGCAATGTAAATATGTATTTGTTCAACATCAAAATATATGGATATATAAAGCAAATATTATAATGCAATAAGAGTAGGCGATTTCAGCTCCACACTTTTAACAATGAATAGATCAGACAGAAAATCAATAGAAAACAGACTTGAACAACTGTATAAAACAAAAGGACCTAAAAGACATATATGTAACATTTCATCCAACAGCAGCAGAATACACATTCTTTTTAAGCATACACAGGACATTCTCCAGCAGAGATTATATGTTAGGCCACAAAACTAGTCTTAACAATTTTTTTAAAGTTTTAAATTATATCAAGTTTTTTTTGTGATCCCAATAGTATGAAACCGTGTCAATAAGAGAAGAAAACTTGGAAAATTTAGAAATATGTGGAAATCAAACAAAAACTTCTAAATACCTAATGGCTCAAGAAAAATTCTAAAGGGAAAACAAGATATATCTTCTTGAGATGAATGAAAATGAAAACACAACATACCAAAACATACAGGATGCAGCAAACACAGACGAAATTTCACATTTATAAATACCTAGATTAAGAAAACGGTGTCTCAAATAAACAACTCAACACCTCAATCAAGTAGCAAAAGAACAAACCAAGCCAAAATGCAGCAG